>NC_000002.12:28437372-28590123 GCF_000001405.40 Homo sapiens
GCCTAGAGCTCAGCCAGCTCCCTCTGGGGGCCCCTTGCTGCTCCCTGGCCCCTTCTGCAGGATCCACAGGCCCAACCTTGGCTTGGCTGTGGGAGGATCCCGAGGGCCAGCGCCCAGCTCTTGGGCCCGAGGCCTGGGCCTAGATTCATTCTTTCATAGCCCATTGTTCAGGGTTCAAGGAGCCGCCCACCCACCCGCCCCTGGCATTCTGGTTAAACCAGGAGTCTGGGCGGCCAGGCGTGGCCTGGGCCTAATGAGCAGGGTGTGCCCGGAGGAGTTGTTAGGAGCAGGGCGACAGCTGTGGGCAGGTTCCTACCCACCACGTGGGCGGGTGGCTTGCACAACAGCCCCCTGCGCGTTGGCGTGCTGCACGGCATTCTTGCCATGTGTTTATTTTTTAAAAACAAATGCTCAACGTTGGTGGGAGTGGTGAAGATATTTCTAAATGTTTCAAAGACATTGTGTTAACATGTTTTAAACCCCGAAGTCTATTGTCTTAGGAAAGTTGGTGCAAGTCTGTAGGATTTCCACCAGTCACAAAGAAGGCAGAATGCCAAAATCATAACAGGTAACCCCTTCCCCATGATTTTCAAAAGGAGGAATCTTCCAGAGTCACTTGGGGATTATGGGCAGGTGGCCCCACCAGGGCCGTCCTCCATGCCTGGTCTGTGGAGGAGGAGCTCCCTGCTCTCAGGGCAAACACAAGTGCATCCCAGCCGCTGGTTTCCTCTCCTGGGCTTGTTGACAGGAGGGTGGAATTCCAGGCCTGCTTGGTTTTCATGCATGGGGCTGTTAACTAGGATCCCTGGCAGCTCGAGGAGTTTTGGACCAAATCAATCCTCCAAGTAATGACCAGGCGAACTCAAGGCACTGTCTGTGTGTCACTGTGTATCTGGGACAGCCTTTGCTGTATTTGAGAGAAGCCGGTCTCCTGCCTTGCAGCAGAGCGTAGTTTGGTTGGTAGTTGGGGGTGGGTCATCCTGTTGTTGAAGTACCTCTTTGTGCCCCTGGAGACTTGCATTCTGGGTCCTGCTGTTAGTTGGGAGGTTTCCAGCTTAGAAACATTGTGGTCATCAGACGCCTTAATGGGAAAGCTGTAGCGAGGACAAGGGCAGGTGGGCCTAAGAAGAAGAGAGGTTGGAAGGATGTATCCTCGCATTCCAGATGGATGCCGCACAGGTCTAACAGCACAGAGGGAGAATCTGGAAACACCAGACTGCAGAGTTGGGTGGGACCCAGCATGGAGGGTGTTCCTCTAGTATCTCTGTCCAATATCATAATCGCCCAGGCCGCAGTGAGAGCATGGGCTAAAATTCACGCAGTCATTTCCTTCATGAGATAGCTTTGCAGATCACTGTGGTTGACTCGTGGGATACAGAAAGGTCAAGCCATTCTTGAAAGATCTCTTGTCAACACAACATCCCATCTAGCTCGAGTTCAGATCTCTTATGTGAGCCCCTGACGCTGCGGACCTGCCCCCCCGGCCATCACTCATCCAGCCTTCACAGGGCAGCAGGTGGCCACCATCTCCTCGGCTGAAAATGCCCTTGGAATGAAATGTACACCTCTTCAGTGCCCCCAACCCCTCCCTCCCTCACCGCTCCCATCTAAGCCACTCACTGTGCTCCGGACAAAATGGCCTCCTGCAGGCTGTTGCACATGATATGCTAAGCCTTCCCTTCCGTCTGCCTCTGCAATACACTGTCATTGCTATTCTTATCCCTATTTTTCCTATTTATTTCAGAAAAATTAAAATCCTACCTTCCCTGTTCTGGAAAGCATTCTTGCACCATGCCCTTCAAGACTGACTCAGTGGAGGGGGCTGCTGGAAGGAGCTGGAAGTTATATTGTTAGGGAGGGGACAGCCATGAGTTGGGAGGTCAGAATAGAAAATCTAAAAGTATTTTCAGTCTTGCAAGTAAGACAACTATCTATTGTGACGAAAAGAGTGACGTCACTTAGTGTGAGACCTTGGGCAAGTTCACCCCGCTTTCTGAGCCTCAAATTCCCCATCTCCAAATTGGGAACCATGAATCCCACCTCTCAGGGGCTTGTGAGGACCCACGGATGTGACCCTCATGAAAGTCTGGACCTGACACGAGGGAGATACATCATGAGCATCAGCCCTCCTTCCCCATCCCACAGGCCAGGAGCATCTGTCAGTGCCCCAGTGCTGACTCTCCAGGGCACTCTTCGGACTGAGGAGGAGGCAGAGGGCCTCATCAGCGGGGGCAGGGGGACCAGGAGGACTGGATGTTAACAAATTGCCCAGCACCAGTGGCCGTCATGTTTGTTTCTTAATTAGGCCGAGTTAATGAATGTCGTGGCTCGTGATTCACTGCTTTGGAGGATATATCCCTTTCTGTTTGCCTTCCTCTCACCTGGGCCTGACAGCTGCCACCCCCACGCCACCACCCTCCACACTCCTCTGCCACACAGCAGGCCTTGGAGTCAGCCCACCTGCCGGAGGGGGTGGCCATACTCAGTCTTGGGCCCCCAGCCCTGCTCCATCAGGGTTCCTGGACTGGCAGAGCCAGAGGGGACAATGGAGAGCCCCCATCAGTGCTGAGGAACTCAGCGTAGAACGCCCTGAGCTAGGCCCTCCCCTGAGCCCCGCTTTACTTTCACAGGTGGCAGGGCGGGCAACGGCCGCACGGGTGTTAGCAACAGAGTCCAGGCCAGCGGGCTGAGGCCCTGGACAGGTGTCGGGAGCCAGACTCATGACGCTTCCCCCACCTGCCCCCTTCCCTCTGCCCGCTACAGACAACACACGCCTGAAGCAGGGCTGAGCCCTGGGCGCAGTGGATAAGGCCTCTCCTTTTCGTCCATACAAACCTCTAGGGGACTTGCCATGCTTGTGGGGAGCCAGGTTGTCAGAAAATGGGCTCATGGGTGAGGTCTCCTGAAACTTCTAGCTTCTCCTGGGAGACCAGGGAGGGCAGAGATTTTAAAGTTTAAAAGGGTCCACATGTTCCTCAGTCTGAGAACCAGGCAGTCCTACGGAGAGGCCAGGGCTCAGCACTCACTCACTTCTTCAATGCCACCTTCCATACCCACTGTTTAAGAAGTCACCACCTTGGGCCTGAGCTGGGGGTGCTGTAGAGTGGAGCAGGGGCAAGCTGAGGGGGACAGAGGTCTAGCGGCAATTCTGGTGGAGAGTAAGCTCAACCTCTGGACAACCCAAAGACATTTCCTCCATGTGCCTTCCTCCAATGCCACTTTTTATTTTCTGAATTGTCTGCAAGGAGAGTGAGATGTTGGGCACTGCAGCCAGAAAGACCTTGTCCTCTGCCTGGGACAGAGGGAAGGACGGGCCAGAACCAACATCCTTGTCAGGGAGACTCAGGGCAACTGGGACCGAAGAGCTTCAGGGTTCAGCGTCCCCACCGGCTGGCCCCTCCACCAAGCAGGTTTGCAGGAAGACAGCATGACGCAGGAGGAACACAGTCACCTTAAAAGGCACCTGTTGACTCCCTAAGGTGCCTGGGCTCAGGGTGTGGGGTGGGGATGGGGGAGGGAAAAAGTGAAAAAGATCCAATATGGAGACACAAGAAACCAGGCTCTTTGGGAAGAAATTCATCAGGAAGTAGTTCTGGAACGTCTTTCTCCCAGTAAGCAGCACAAGCCATGCAGGCATTTGGAGGGGAGAACTTCTGCCCTCCAAACCCATGATGGTGCCATATGGAAAGTGATGATGCCACTGGAAGGCACCAATTGCCACTGGACAGGACACTGTGGTGTCTTGAGAGCAAGAGCACCAGCCTGTTTTTTATTTTATTTTATTTATTTTATTTTATTCTGGTTAACTATATAAAAGATTTATCTTGCCTCTTTTATTTTAATAAACTAGATAAATATTGTATTAAGAAATCAAGTTGTTGGCTGGGTGCAGTGGCTCACACCTGTAATCCCAACACTTTGGGAGGCGAAGGTAGGCAGATCACCTGAGGTCAGGAGTTCGAGACCAGCCTGGCCAACATGGTGAAACCCTGTCTCTACTAAAAGTACAAAAATTAGCTGGATGTGGTGGTGCACACTTGTAATCCCAGCTACTCGGGAGGCTGAGGCAGGCGAATCGCTTGAACCCAGGAGGTGGAGGTTGCAGTGAGCCGAGATCGTACCACTGCACTCTAGCCTGGGCGACAGAGGGAAACTCCGTCTCAAAAAAAAAAAAAAAAAAAAAAAAAGAAATCAAGTTGTTTGTGTTTAAATACTCACGAGTAAGGTTTGTTAGGTTTTATGTGCTAGCATTTTTTAAAATTTTTTATTTTTAAAATGTAATAAAATACACATAACATAAAATGTACTATCTCTTCCATCTTAAGAGTACAGTTCAGTCACATTAAGTATATTCACATTGTATGCAACCAATCGCTTTTTCATCTTAGGAAACTGAAACTCTGTACCCATTAAACAAAAACTCCCCATTTTCCCCTCTCTTCTGCCCCTGGCAACTGTTTTTGTGTGTGTGTGTTTTATTTGTTTTTTTGTTTGTTTGTTTGTTTTTGAGGTGTACTCTAGAGACACTGAGATGCGTCGATCTTAAGTGTAAAACTCACTGAGTTTTGACAGACGTGTACACCCATGCAACCACAATTCCAATCAAGATATAGCATATTTGCTTCACTCCACTAGGTTGCCTTTTTACCTTCTTCATCAATCTCCAACCCCACCCTGAGGCAACCAACGTTCTGATTTCTATCATCACAGATCCTTTTTGGAATCATCTCATATGCACTCTTTTGTGTTGGCTTCTTTCTTCCACACAGTGTTGACATTTGTCCATGTTGCATTGTTTGTTCATTTTTATTGTTCAGTAGTGTTCCATTGTATGAAGAAACCACAATGTATTTATCTACTTATCTACCTGTTCATGGTCATGTGGGTAATTTCCAATTTTTGCTAATAAAGGAATAAAACTGCTATGGATATTTTTGGACAAGTTGTTTTTTGGGTGAAAATCTGTTTTTATTTCTCTTGGGGCAATACTTGGTTGTGGAATTGGTGAATCATAGGGTTGGTGTATGTTTAACTTTCTAAGAATCTGCCAAACTGTTTTCCAAAATGGTTGTACCATTTTGTGCCCTCACCAGTGTGTGTTACAGTTGCTTCACGTCCTCACCAGCATTTGCTATTGTTGGTCATTTTCAGCTTAGCCATTCGAGTGGGTGTGAAATGTTACTGCTGTGGTTTTAATTTGCATCTCCTGATTAAGCACAATGAGGCTGAGCAATTTTCATTTGTTTACTGGCCCTTTGTAATGTTCTTTTGTGACGTGTCTGTTCATGTCCTTTGCTCCCTTTTATTTATTAGGCTTTAAAAAATCATTTTATTCTTGATTTGTGAGTATTTATATATTCTAGATACCAGAACTTTGTCAGATATATGTTTTGTGTGAATATTTTTTTCACAGACTGACTTGCCTATTTTCTTAAAAACGTCTTTCCAAGAAAAAGAAAACAAAAATGGCCAGGTGTGGTGGCTCACACCTGTAATCCCAATACTTTGGGAGGCTGAGGTGGGAAGATGGCTTGAGGCCAGGAGTTAGTTCCAGGCCAGCATGAGAAACACAGGGAGACCCTATCTCTACAAAAAAAAAAAAAAAAAAAATCAAATAAAAACCAACAAAAGAGTTTAAAACAACAAAAAATTGATAATGTCCAATCTACAAATTATTTCATTTTTTAATAGTTTGTGATTGTTTTTCTTTGTGTGTGATCTGTTTAAGAAAACTTTGCCTACCCAAAAGTCATGAAAATTCTCTCTTCTGTTCTTTTTTAGAAGCTTTATAGTTTTAGATTTTTTGTTTAGGTCTATAATCCATCTATTTTTTTTTTTTTTTTTTTTTTTTAGACAGGGTCTGGCTGGCTCTGTTACCCAGGCTGGAGTGCAATGGCGCATTCTGGGCTCACTGCAATCTCTACCTCCTGGGCTCAAGCCATCCTCCCACCTCAGCCTCCCAAGTAGCTGGGACTACAGGTGCATGCCACCAGGCCCAGCTAATTTTTTGTATTTTTTGTAGAGACAGGGTCTCGCCATGTTGGCCAGGCTGGTCTGAACTCCTGATCTCAAGCGGTCCGCCTGCCTTGGCCTCCCCAAATGCTGGGATTACAGGCATGAGCCACTGTGCCTGGTGCAAAATAATTTTTGAGTATGATGTGAGGTAAGGGTCAATGCTCATTTTTTAATATCCAGATGTTCTAGCATCATTTAAAATTAAAAAGACTTTCCTTTCCCCCATTGAATCACATTGGTGCCTTTGTTGGGAGTCAGTTGAGCACATACACATGGTCTCACTCCTAGGCTTTCTATTCTGTTTCCTTGATCTCCTTGTCTATTCTGACACCAATATCTTATTGTCATGATTACAATAGCTTTACAGCAAGTTCTAATTCAGGTAGTGAAGACGGATGCTCCATGGGGTACTGCATATACATATTTTGTTCTTGTTGTTTTGTTTTGTTGAGACAGGGTCCCACTCTGTTGCCCAGGCTGGAGTGCAGTGGGATGATCATAGCTCACTGCAGCCTTGACCTCCAAGGCTCAAACGATCCTCCTGCCTCAGCACCCCAAATAGCTGGAACTACAGATGCACACCACCGTAGCTGGCTAATTTTTGTATATTTTTAGAGATGGGGTTTCGCCATGTTGCCAGGCTGGTCTTGAACTTCCGGGCTCTAGCAATCTACCCGCTTTGGCCTCCCAAAGTGCTGGGATTACAGGCATGAGCCACTGTGCCCAGCCTGTGCAGCATATTTTTGAAATATCAGCCCATTCCTCCCAGTATTTATTCTTTGCCCTTTTCACCACCAGTTCTGAGCTGATTACCAAGGGGGAAGTGGATATAACAGGATACAAGGCAGAAAAAAGGGGTGCCTTTCTGGCTTTGGTTTCAAAGCCCAAGTCCTAAAAGGAACAGAGTCACAAAGTTTGGAGAAAACAGATGATAGAGAGCAGCTCCCACTCCCGCTTCCAGCCAACCACCCTTCTAAGACTAGAGAAAAATCCCCTAGGTGGGGAGGAGAGAGAAGAACGGGAGGGAATTAGAGAGCAGCTCCGCACCCCTATATCTTGGGTTAGGGTCTCAGGAGCCAGCCAGATCTCACAGAGGGGACAGACAAGGCTTGTAGAGCCTCCCCTGGCTCTGATCAGTGCGGGAGCAGCAGCATGAATTCTAGACCCTTAGTATGACCCGGAGAGAGGTGCACACTGAAGGATCTGTAAGATCAGAACAGCAGCCATCCCAGCAGAGGCCTGCATGAGGAAAGTCTCCCCAATTCCTTAGCTCTTGGTGAACCTCCTAGAAAATCACTCCCAACACTGAGAAGAGTGAGCAGGAAAACCTGCATTGACTGGGTAATTTTCTGCCATTCTGGTGGTGAGGTATCTCATCTGAGTTATAGGAAGGGAAAGAAGGTAATATTTTTTGAACATCTGAGTTAGTTACTTAAGGTTTATTCCAGCTTTATATGGAACTTCTAACACCCTACATTTTAAGGACTAAGCCTAATGTTAATACAGAGTGGTGATGAGGAGGGAACCACCCATTCCGCTGGGAGAGGAGCTGGTGGGGAGGAACTGGGAGAGCCTGGGCCAGTAGGCTTCCCTGCCTCACTTATTCTCAGCCCTGTGTTTGGGATATCACAGTGCCATCAAGCAACTCAGCTTCATAATGGGTTCCTCTGAGTTCTATTCCTCTGTCCTGCAATGCTTTAATCAAGTCCTGCCTCTTGATGCGTCACTTTCATCTTGAGCAACTCAACGGACATTCAGTCCTCAAGATCTGCATGGAGCAAAGTTTGAGGGTAAGCCCCATCTCTCACACAGCAGTGACTATTTGGGAAGCTAAGGCTCCAAGTGAGGACACTGTCTTGTGCCGGGTGCAGAGGACATTGAGGTGGGGCTGCCTCATGCTTCACAGTCCTAGCGTTATTTTCCATGCCATCTGTGTTCTGACTAAACCCACTTTAGGTATGGGGAAACTGATGCTTCAGCCCTATTTATTGCATGCCAGGAAAGTCTAGTTCGCATGTTGTTTTGCTTATGTTAGCATGTTCACCTTGCACAGTAACTCCAAGAATGTAAAAAAGACACTTCAAAATGCATTGAATAAATACCTTCCTTTGCTGTGATCCCATGTCCACCAAATGTTCTGAAATGAGACACATGGAAAATGGAAAACAGACCAAAAATATTTGCTTGACTGACATTGTGGATTAGGGTGTCCACGAGAGTATAAACACACACACCCACTACACACACACACCCACTACACACACGCACCCTGCAGAGTGGGCCCCAGGATTAGGGACCTTCCACAGCAACCAACGCTGGCTGCCAATTTCAGAGCTGCCCCTGGGCCTGGCTCTGCTGGATTGAGGCCAGGAGTGCCTGGGTCTGAGGAATGCACTCACCTGGAGCTCAGAAGGAGCCCCTGCACCCTCTACCTGGGCAGCCCAGAAAGGTGTTGGGGCTGTCACTCCACACTGAGAGGGCATCACCACTCAGGGGCTTGGAAGAAGGGGGAATGGGTCAGGACTTTTAGTTCATTGCTAAATGAAGCCTAACTCCCCTCTGGGGTCCTGTGGCCTGGACCCCTGGTGCAGGTCCGCGGTGGCCTTGCTCAAGGGAGCACTGAACTCATTCACCCTCCCAGCAGTCAAACCATGACACGCAAGAGCCTCTTACTCATCCCGAAGTCATCAGTCATGTTTCCAAGAGTGTGAGTAATTCAGGGAGGGAGGGAGAGAGGGCTCCAGCTGGGGGTGGGATGATGCTGAAGAGGTGATGTGGCCCAGAAGGAGCCCTAATTCTTCTTACTCCAAAGCTGGAAATGCTCTTCTTTTTGAGAAGAGATGTCTCCTTAATCTGCTCCCAATGGGGTGTGTGTGTGTGTGTGTGTGTGTGTGTGTGTGTGTGTGTGTGTGTATGTGTAGAATACTGGCAGCTTAAAGAAACTGGAAACCAAAGCAACAAGGACTTCTCCCTTCATTCCCAGGAGCTGAGAAGGTGTGCTGGCTCAGAGGACGGAGGCCAAGTGGGCACTTTTTTTACTTATTAATAAAATATACATTCAGACAGGGCACAGTAGCTCAAGCCTGTAATCCCAGCACTTAGGGAGGCCGAAGCGGAAGGATCGCTTGAGCCCAGGAGTTTGAGACTAGTCTGGGCAACATAGTGAGACCCTAGCCCTAAAAAAAATTGAAAAATTAGCTGGGGGTGGTGGCACACAACTGTGGTCCCAGCTACTCAGGAGGCTGAGGTGGGAGGATTGCTTGAGCCCAGCTGGTCAAGGTTGCAGTGAGCCATGATTGTGCCACTGCACTCCAGCCTGGGTGACACAGTGAGACTCTGTCTCAACTACAATGCAATACAATAAAGTATGTACTCATATTTGCCCAGCACTTTATTCCATTTTGAGCCTTTGAGGGGAACAAGTTAGGTATTGTTATCTCCATTTTATAGCCAAGGAACTGAAGCTCAGGGCAGTCATGTAAGCTGCTAGTGTCCTATCACAGGCAACTATTGGAGCTGGGATTTGAACCCAGGTCCCTTAATGACTAGTCCAGCCCCTACATCCCTGAACTGTGAGGGCTTCCTCTAAACAGAGGGCTCTGTTAGCCTTTCGACTTGTTTTCTATCCAAGATCATCTTTCAGCAAGTGGGCTCAGCCTGGACCCAACAATTGTCCCTTGCCTTCCTAGACCACACTCTTACAGAGGTCCTGGCCGTGGGTACTCCTGGGGGATGCTCAGTTCCAGGTCACTTTCCCCTCCTCCTAGCCTGGGACTTGACCCAGGAGAGCTGGCTGCCTTCAGAGGAGAACCTTTTCCAAGGAAGTCACAGGGGAGAGAGCCAGGGGAACCCCGGTAGGATGGAGAGTCTGTGGGTGGGTCTGCCCAGACAGTGGGAGTTGACCAAGCATCAGCTCCCAAGAGGCCCAAGCCTAAGGAGTTAAGTACTAGCAGTCAGGCATTTTGGCTATGGATTGGCTGAGGGACCTGACCTCTAACCCTGTGTCTTCCTTTCTTGCGTTTCCCAGCCCACTTCTTCCCATAGAGCCATGAGAAGACATCCTTGGTTCACTGGAGGAGGAAACCCTGCAGGAAACACACCTGGGAAAATAACTCCCATTTCGAGGCAGAAATGATTATTCTCAGTATATTGATGAGGAAACTGAGGCTTTGGAGGTTACATAACTCAGGCTATACCACCCAGCTAGTGAAGGGGGCAGAACAAGAGTTCAGATCTGATGGTGTGGTGGCCATTTCACCAAATCATCCTGCCTTAGAAAACCTGCAACAGCCCAGAACAGGCACCTCGACCACCTCACTGCAGACGCTAACCTCAGATGGTGACCAAAGAGAAAGCCTGACATGGGAAAATGACTTGAGATCAGAGGCTACATTGAGCTGTATTGTGCGCCCCACTCCTCCAAATGTATATGTTGAAGTCCTAACCCCCCAGAACCTCAGAATGCAACTGTATTTGGAGACAGGGTCTTTAAAGAGGTAATTAAGTTAACATGATGTCATTGGGGGGGACTAAATTAAATGTAACTGGTGTCCTTACAAGAAGTGATTAGAACCAAACAGACACAGGGGGAAGACCATGGGCAGACACAGCAAGATGGCAGCCATCTCCAAGCCAAAGAGAGAGGACTTAAAAGAAAGGACCCCTGCTGGCCCCTGTCAGTCTTCCAGCCTCCAGAATTGTGCAAGTATAAATTTCTGTTGTTGAAGCCACCTGATGTACAGTATTCTCTTCTGACAGCCTCAGCAAACTCATTCAGAGCCCCTTAAAAAATCATCTCTGTCCCCAGTTCCTGCACACAGTAGGCACCGAATCCACATTTGTTAACTGGCTGAAGGAAGTGCCATGAACGCTGGGCTCTCCAATAGGTGGAGAAGATTCAAATTTTGATTTTTGCAACCAGCCTCCTTCCTCTTGTTGAAACTTCCTGTTTCTGAGGAATAGAGATTTTACAGATCCCAGAGGGCATCCAGTAAACCCAGCAGCTATTACCAAATAATTCTGGTTTTGATGATCTCAGTGAGTATGAATCAGAAGCAAGCAGACTTGCGTTTCTTTTGAAATATACCCAAGGTTAAACGTTAGAGGAAGAAGCAAAAACATATCGGAAAATGTATTGCTAGCAAGGAACTATTTGTGTTGTTGGTGCCCAAGGCCTGATGAGATGGGCTTTCCTTCCTTCTGTGTGGAGCAGAACCTGGTGAAGGCTTGAGTGACCAACGTTGTTGCTGCTCGGGCCAAAGCAACCTCTTCCTGTCCAAGTGCCCATCCTCACGGTTCTCACCTGGATCTCTTATTTGAAAAAGAGAATTCCAGGGTTGAGGGTGCCTCCTGGAGCCCTCATCATCCAGGTGACTGCTGTGGCCTGGAGGAGGTCCTGGCCCTTGTAGAAGGGCACCCTGGTGGAATAGGAAGGTTTGGGATAGGAAGAGAGTATGGGGTCCACACAGCTACAAGCCAGGGTCCTGCAATGGGATCAAACAGGGCATGGGTAAGATGGTTGAGGCTGGGGTGGTGTCAGGTCACCATGAAGCCGGGCTGCTTTTAGGGGCATCACTTGGAACAGGCAGCATTCGGGCAGGGGCTGTAAAACACTTTGGAAATTGGAGTTCGAGCAGGAGCTCCTAGGGAGGACTTGTGGTGCAAGGGAGGGCTTGGAATTAAGTGGGAAGAGCCCAGACAACCCTGGCTTCTGCTTCTGGCTCTGCCACATGCTAGCCGAGGGGCCTGGCAAGCTCTGTCCTCTAGAGAACCTCAATCTCTCCATCGTCAGGGGACACTGGGCCACCTTCGAGGATCAATGGGGTTCTGGAGAAAAGGAGTGGCATGGGATGATGTGCGAAAAAACCTCCAGCCCAGGCAGGACACTGGTAAGGGCTGGAGCCAGGCACGGGTCTGTCAGGGTGGGACTTGGCCATCGCACGCTCAGGGGTTCCTCTCCCAAGAAGGGGGAATGTGGCCAGGAGCCCCAGGGTTGGTGCCTTCAGGATCCTCAGGGCCTGCAGGGCAGCAGCTCAGATTCTTTAGGAAGTGGCTGCCCCTCCCTCCTCAAAGCCATTTCTCTCCCTTCACCATCTCAGGAACTTCTTGCACTTCCCCAAACGTTCCCGAGCCCCCACCTCCATGCCTTCCTGCACGATGCTCTTCCCGCGGCCTGAAACTCCCTTCCCTTCCCATGTCTGGCTTCTGCCTACTCCTCCCACACGATTATCTCAGATATCTCTCCCCACCCCGCGTCTTCTCCCAGGGAGTCTTTCCTGACCACTCCCTCTGCATGGAGCCTGGCTGTCTGTGTCTGTCTGTCTGTCCATCCATCTGTCAGCCATGCCTCTGGCCTCCTGCCACACCTCCCTCTCCCGGTGCCCACCCACACCCTGCAGTGGAACTCTATTTCCCCTCTGGACCATGAGCTCCCGGGCCCTGGCCCTGATCTTCCCTCTCAGGGGCCTAGTCCAGGGTCTGAAACATAATAACAGCTCAATAAATGAGTGTCAAAACAATTACTGGCTTACTCAATGAATGACTTCTGAATACAGGGCCCACTTCTACAAATGAGTCACAAGTCTGAGCCACCGTGCCCTGCCCCCACCCACTGACCCCAGTGAAACCCTCCCTGTGATGACATCATCATTACCTTGAATTCTCAGAATCACCGGTGCCTTCTATCTTCTCCTTTTACTCTACCTGCTTCTAAATCCCCCTCCTCCTCCTTCTTTCCCCCTCCTCTGGGGGCAGCACATCTAAATAAGGTAGTGTTCCTTCCGGGCTGTGAATTATCAGGATTTTCATCTAGTGACTCGGGAAATTGTGAGACAGAATCAGGAAGTCGATCCCCAAGTGCTGGACAAGGAGATGCGATGCCAGTTGGCCCCTGGTGCTCTGGAGTTAACTGAGTAGGAGACTGGGAGGACCTAGGTAGGGAAGGAGGAGGCTTGAGCTGAGGAGAATGGGTATGGGGTGTGGGAAACTGGCGGGGTTGGGCTCCTTACAGACTGCACAGGCCAAGGCATCCCTGGTCTGGCATGAAGGGAGAGGCCACTGCCCTGTCCCATACACTTGGCTGCCTAAGGTCCTTTGTGGGGAGGCAACCATCCTCCCCACACCCAACTTAGATGATCAGGAAGGAGCCCACCCAGGGAACATCCCTGCCTCTCATCTCATCTTCTCTCCTGTGACTCCTCCTGTCTTTTTCCCTAAATGTCATGGAGGTGTTTCTGGCACAAGTAGTGAGGAGCTGGCCAACCAGAGCATGCCCCGGGGTCACTGCCATTTTCATGTCATACCCTTTTCATGAAGAAATAAATTAGGACCCTGCTTCTGGAAAACTGATGTTTGTGACATCATGTAGGGAACAGATGGGATATTTGAGATTCTTGAAAAAGGATCATATATATCTCAATAAAAGGCAACTTCTGAGGCCAGAGGAAAACATAATAAATAAAAGGACTGCTGCTTCCTGTATCAGGTGGGAAAAGCATGACATGAGTTAACCCAAAAAATGTTTTTTTGTAAACAAGTAAAAGTAAATAAACCCAAGAAGGGCAGGAAAGTCAAAGGTTGTTTCTTGACAGGTTTGTCAAGGGGTACAGGGGTCCCGTGGCAGCATGTCCATCCCCGCCTTCTCACACTGCCTTGCAATCGCCGCCTTGTCTCCGGAGCCCTAGAGGGCAGGGCCATTACGTTATCTCTCTCTCAATCCCCGGGGCCTAGCCTGGGACCTGACACATAGTAGGTGCTCAGTAGGCAGAGAGACCGTATAATTTATCATCCAAACTGGGACACTTCAAGGTCAAAGGAGGCTATTAATAATTACATCTGGACAACAGTTGTAATCTGGGACTGTCTGGACAAAAAGGTGTCTGTTGAATAAGTGAATGAATGAACAAATGAATGAATGAATGATTCTTAGGCTGAGGCTGCTGACACCGAGGCATTCATGGCTTCCTACATCCGTTGGTGCCACTGTCTAATAGAAAATTCACCCGTGTATACCATGTATACCAAGCTGGGATTGAAAGTCCATCTCCGTTCTTAGCTTGCAGACTGGGACTCCACTGCAGAGAGAAACTGGGCTGAGCCGGAAGGGCCCTGCAGGTGCTGCTCAGAGCATCTTCCTCCACTTTCCTGCTGGCTTGGGCACCAGGAACTCGGCTCTGCGCTTTCTGTTCTTTGTAGCATTTAATCCTTACACCAGCCTTGTGAAGTAGATGTTCTTATTACCTTTTACAGGTGAATCAACCCAGGCTTAGAGAAGTGAAGTATTGTGCCCAAGGCGCTAATATCAGAGATACAACCTATACCCAAGTCTGTGGGACACCGAAGTACGTGCCTCTAAGACGTCACCACCTTGCCTTTTATGTGGCCTTCTCTCAAGAAGAGGACTTAGAGGCTTGGGGCGTCCAGTTTCTGGAGGCAGGCAGGGCCTCCTGTGGCCTGATCCATTGGCTGGAGAGGAGTCAGCAGGGGCTGGGGTCATGGCATTGTCCCAGTGGGAATGGAAAGTTTGCCTCCTGGAGGCGCCCCCTCTGCCCCACGTCTGATTGCGGGCAGAGTCTTGGACGGGGCAGTGGCACATTCAGAACCTCTGGCCAGGCTAGGACCATGAGAAGTGGGCTTTTCATAGGTTACAAGCCCTGTGGCCGTGGGAGCAGGCGGGGCAGGGACCCTGGTCAGCCTGATTCACAGGCCAGGATGCTGCCACCTGAGCCTTGTAACTGAGCCCTCGTGGCTCCTGAGGGTGGGTTAAGGAGGAGAAGGTGTTCCGAACCGGAACTCCTAACCAAGGGCTCTATCAGTCCTTCCACCTCCTGCTTCCGGCCCGCCCCACACCTACCCCCTGGAGGGCCGTGGAGTTTCTTTGATGCACGGCCTGGCTGTTTTTCCAGAACGTGGTTCATTTGCAGTCCCAGCCCATCGGGAGAGCGGCCTGAGAGTCTGAGGGCTCCAGCCCAGGGGAGAGGCTTGCTGGGGCCTGGCTGGGCTGAAGTGGTGGAGAGGGGAGAGGCCAGGCCCAGAACCTCTTTTTCCCTCTTGTGTTCCCAGGCCGGTCAGGCTCCTGCTGGGCGATTGATGGAGGTGAGAGGATGTGGGCTAGGGCTGGGTCTGGGCAAGGGCTCTGTGAGGGAGCAGGGTTAGGCACTCTCCCCCGCTCCCCCCACCTGCCTCCCACCTCCACTCTCTGCAGATAGCCCTTGCCCCAAGGCTGCAGCCCAGTTGACATCCCTGAGCCTGGGCCACCAAGCGCAGCTCCCTTGCGCCCTCTAGTGTCTGCCCCTCTCAGGTACAGGGTGCCTTGGGCCAATCTCTGAACCTAGAATTGACCTTCCAAACCGGGCCATTCCTAAGCATGAGGTGGACTCTGTTGACAATGATGCTGGGCAGCAGACGCAAAAAGAGACTGGGCCAGCTGTCTTTTCACTCCACTCAGGTCAGAAGTGCCCCCTCCCCACTCCACTGTGGTCCCCAGAACCATCTCTGGGAACCACCCCATTTGTAAATGAGATAATGCATGTGACGTGCTTAGCAAGGGGCTGGGAGAGTAGGGGACCAGTGACTATGTGGTCAATGAACAGCTATTAGCTCCACTAGGTAGAAGCAATGATCTGTTTGGTCCTGTGCTGGGGGCTCGTTTCCAGGGGGGAGGACAGAGAAGCTCTGTCCAGTGCTGCTGAGGCAGGAATGAGGACTCCATGTTCGGAGTCTGGCACGGAGCAGGAGGGTGATTTGATGGCTCGGTGTGTGTTGGCTGCAAGAGCAAATGCAAAACGTCAGCCTGAGATTAATCAAGACATCCTTCCACTTACCGTTTCGGGTCTTGTTGGGGAGTTTGGAAGGAAAACTGCCTTTCCAGCAAGATGTTTTGACATGATGCCTTTTCCCTGGCATGCGTTGTCTCCTTCTCCCCACCCATCCCCTTCGCCACAGCTTTAGGGATGACCTCTGCCCTGCTGGGTGCCCTTGATGACTAACACAGCAAGTGTGTGGACCGCCACCTGTCCTGGCCTCACCCACCTTCACCCTCCATTTCTTCATGACTGCCCCCGTGGCTTCTAGGGGGAAGGCCCCAGACAGGTTTGCTAAACTACTGACTCCCAGGGCTCCCTGACAGGGCCTGATGCAGGGTGGCCAGCGGTTGTGACCCCTAGACCAGGTGGGTCCCAGCACAGGGACCTGAGCCCCACCCTCAGGGAGCTGGCGGCTACACGGGGAGCGGTCACCTGTACAGATAAATCTAGTGGAAAGCCCCCATGGCCAGAACCAGGGCGGAGGGCCTGGGGCAGGCTCTGGAGTATAGAAGAGGGAAGGCGCCTTTGGAACAGACAGCAGAGAGAAGAGCCTGCAGGATGAGTGCGAAGGATTGCTGTGGACAGAGGTGGGCCAGGGCTCAGCTCGAGGGCTCCCAGGGAAAGGAGCCTGGGGTGGCCTGGGCACCGTGTGTGTGTGTGTGTATGTGTGTGCGCGCGCGTGCATGTGCGTGTGCATAGGTATGATTCAGGGAGACATAAGGGACTTTGGCAAAGTCAGGAGGATGTGGGGGCTAAGCAAACACCACTTTGAAGACTTCTCTTTGGCATGGGGTGTGACAAGCCAGGTCTGGTGCCTTGTTGAGGAAAGGGAGAAAACTCTGAGTTGGTTTTTGTGTTCCTCAAACCAGTTTGCCCACATCCTTGGCATCATCTGTGCCCTGTGAAGGGCCCGCTTGGAGCCATGCATGTCTGGGCCTGAGGGTGGCGGTGCCTACGTGAGGCCCTGCGGTCTCTTCAGGAGCTCCCCGAGAGGGGCACTTGGCCACTGTTGGAGCTGAGAGGGGCCTGGCCCAGCTCACCCGCCTCTCCTGCTTCTCACCCAGCCCCTGCTGCTGAGAGCTCTGGCAGCCTCCGTGTGCACAGCAGGCCTGGGCTCAGTCACAGGTAGCTCTTCTGTCTGCTCCACGGTGGCTCTCCTCAGGGCCTTGGCTCTCATGTGAGGCTTCCAGCTGCTGCTCACACTCAGAGCTTTGCATGACCAGCAACACACAGGCAGATAAGAGCATTGGGTCTAGGGCGAGAAAATCCTGGGTTCAAGATCAGGCTCTGCCATTTACCAGCTATGTGGCCTCAGGCAGGTTGAACTCTTTGAGCCGCAGTTATCTCATCTGTAAATTGGGGATAATAACACTTAATGGTACTTATCTCATGGGGTTGTCATGAGGATCAAATGAGATGATGTGTGTGTAAACACCTTACAGAGGGCTCCACTAATGGAAGGCATTATTATTGCTGTTTCCATACCACACGACACTCACCCAAGAATGGAAGTTCATGTTCTGACTGTCAATGACGTGTCCAGCATTCCTCCTGTGCTCATTTCATAACTATTCGTTGAGCCTCCTTGGTGCCAGGCACTGTTCTAGACTCTTGGGCCATAAAAATCAATAAAACACAAGATCCCTGCCTCCTTACGGCTGACCTTCTAGGGGAGAGACTTTCACATACCCCAATCTACTTAGCACACATTCCAACCTCTCTCTGGCATCTGCAAACTCAAGTCTGCAAGGTGAAGCAACATCCTAAGCTGCTAGGAACTCTCTCCATAAGTACTCATCCAGATGGCCTGGTGATACGGACAGGAGACAGGGAAATACTGGGTAGAAGAGGGTGGCTCCTGGCAAAGGCCCCACCCTCAAGCCTGAAGACCCACGGCCCTAAATGAGGACAGGCATTCCTGTTTTTGAGCGGAAAAAGTTGCCTTTTGGCCTGCCACACCCCCTATCCTGCACCCATATAAACCCTGAACCCCAGGCTTCAGAAACAGACGAGCAAGCCAGCAGACCAGCAGACGGACAGTGGAACGATGCAGTAGAGAAAGAGAGAGGAGGAGGAACATCTGAACATGGAGAGGAGTTTGACTGGGGACGGTCAGAGAGGAGTCCGGCTGCTGGGCTCCTGACTCCAGGGGAAGATCACCTTCCTACTCCATACCCCCCTTCTGGCTCCTCATCCGTCCCACTGAAAGCTACCTCTACCATTCAATAAAACCTCGCATTCATCCTTCAAGCCCATGTGTGACCCAGTTTTTCCGGGATGCTGGATAAGAGCTTGTGATACAGAGAGCTGTCACACTGGCCCTCTGCCCTTGCGAAAAGGCAGAGGGTCCATTGAGCTGGTTAACACATGCTGTCTGCGGACAGCAAAGCTGAAAGAGCTTTGTAACACTGGGGTTGCAGGCACCCACCTTTAGACACTACAGTAGGGCCAGAGCCCAAATGGCTCACCCTGGCCTCTGCACCTTCCCATCTGCATGCTCCACCTCCTGAGAGGGATTTGAGCAGCAGGGGTGACCGAAAAGGCAAGCGGCACATCCTGAGGGGGATCGGGGACCTCTCCTGTTTCACTGCAGAAGTCCTTTCGTGGCAAAACAAGGTCATGTTGAGACAACACTCAGAGCATTGTCGTGAAAAGGGAGCACAATCATTAAGAGTAGTTGCCCATTTTACAGATGAGGAAATTGGGGCCCAGAAAAGTTTAACTGCCTTGCCCTAGGTTATGCTGCTGCTCAGTAACAAAATAACTTAGTCAACAAATATTTGCTGAGCCCCTATTTTGTGCCAGCCACTGCTTTGGGCACTGGGGCACAGTCAGTGCCTTAGTGGAGCTTGCATTCTCTAAAGGGGTGACTTAAAATAAATATGTAAACAGGTGAGCTCATTTCAGACATGATGAGTGCTAGGCGGAAAATCATACAAGATAATGGGAGGGACAGTGACTTAGGAATGGGGTAGTTGGGGAAGGCCTCCGGGGAGGTGACACTGAAGTCAAGGAACCAAGCAGAGGACACTTCCGGTGGAAGTTATCCTAAATGGTGACCCAGATAAGAGACTCAAAGGATTCCCTACAGCTCACTTAAAAGGCAAAGGAGAAAATGTGGCTGTGAGTCCTCCTAGGGAGAGCAGGGGTTTCTGAGCTGTGGCCTGAGGAGCCAGGTGGCCCTCCTTGTAAAACAGAGCTCAGGGCATCTGGGGATCCTTTTGTTTTGTTTTCTAATAGACTTTATTTTTTAGGTTCATAGCAAATTTGAAAACAAAGTATAGAGAGTCCCCATATACCCCTGCCCCTACATGTGTAGTACATTCATTAAATCAAGAACCCACATGGATGCATCATCACCCAAAGTCTATATTTACATTGGGGTTCACTCTTGGTGTTGATGTCCTATGAGTTCTAACCGAAGTGTGATGACTTTATCCACTGTCACAGCATCTTAGAGTAGTTTCACGGCCCTAAAAATCCTCTGTGCTCCGCCTGTTCATCCCTCCCTCCCCACAACCCCTGGCACCCACTGGTCTTTTTGCTGTCTCCGTAGTCTTGCCTTTCCCAGAGTGTCATATAGTTGGAATCATACAGTATGCACCCTGTTCATACTGGCTTCTTCCACTTAATAATATACATTTAAGTTTTCTCCATGTCTTTTCATGGCTTGGCAGCACATTTCTTTTTAGCGTTGAATGAAATTTGCATTTTCTGGATGTAGGGGCTTGATATGGTTTGGCTCTGTGTCCCCACCCAAATCTCATCTTGAATGATACGCCTGTAACTCCCACGTGTTGTGGGAGGGACCCGGTGGGAGATCATTGAATCATGGGGGCGCTTTCTCTCATACTTTCCTTATGGTAGTAAGTCTCATGAGATCTGATTTTTTTTAAATAGGGAGTTTCTGCTTTCGCTTCTGCGTCATTTTTTTCTTGCTGCCGCCATGTAAGTAGTACCGTTCGCCTTCCGCCATGATTGTGAGGCCTCTCCAGCCACGCAGAACTGTGAGTCCAATCAGCCTCGTTCTTTTGTAAATTGCCCAGTGTCGCGTATGTCTTTATCAGCAGCGTGAAAACGGGCTAATACAGGCTTCTTTCTTGTTTTGTTTGCTTGACATTTGGCTTTTTCCTTGCTTTCCTGCAGTGGTTTCAGCCTGCAAGCCCTTTCATTTCCGAGGGATGGGGTGGGGCAGGGCCATGCTGTTGCGGGTGCTGTGTTCTCCAGGCTGGGAAAGGCAAGGCCATTCTGGGCCCTGAGGCTGCGTCACCTCCGGTGCCCAACAGGCGGCCACACCACCATGTTCTGCTTTAAACAGGTCATGACTGCGTGGGGCATAGGGTTATTGGGGCATTGTGTGCAGGACCAAGATGGAAATGGGGGCTGCTCCCCCCAGGCCTCTTCTCCCTCCTGCTCCCTTGGGCCAGGTGGGCAGCTCAGTTGTATTTCTTGGTTTGGGAAGGGGGAAGACCTGGGGCATTTTGCCATTTGCTTGCCTAGCCCTCACTCAGTATTGTCTCCTGGAAGACTGGAAAGTTCTGGGAAATCTGGTCCTCATCATAGAATCTGATCTGAAGTAGGTGGCTCCCAGCGCAAAGGTTCCATTTGCCTGGAGAGAGCCTCATGGGGTGAGGAGAAAGGATGCCGGTATGTTTTGCCCTTGGGGCTGGCAGCCTAAAGGGAAAAACATTTCTGGTGAAGGAGGCTGCTGCCTTTTGTTATCGAGATTGAACCCTACCAACAGAGGGATGGGTAAACAAAATGTGTTCTATCCATACAATGGAGATGATTCAGCCTGAAGAAGTAAGGAAATTCTGACACCTGCTATAGCATGGATGAGCCTTGAGGACATCTGTTAGGTAAAATAAGCCAGTCACAAAATGGCGAATATTGTCTGATTCTACTGATAGGAGTAGTCAAATTCATAGAGACAGGAAGTAGAAGGGTGACTGCCAGGAGCCTGAGGAAGGGAGAAATGGGGAATCAGTGTCCAACAGGTGCAGGTTTCAGTTTTGGATGATAAAACGAGTTCTGCCTTTGCAGCAACATGGATGGAGCTGGAGATCATTGTCCTAAGCAAACTGAGGTAGGAACAGAAAACCAAATACCGTATGTTCTCACTTATAAGTGGGAGCTAAATAATGAGAACACATGGACACAGAGAGGGGAACAACACACACTGGGGCCTCTCAGAGGGTGGAGGGTGGGAGGAGGGAGAGGATCAGGAAAAATAACGAATGGGTACTAGGCTTAATACCTGGTTGATAACATAATCTGTACAACAAACCCCCATGACACATGTTGACCTAAGTTACAAACCTGCACATGTACCTGTAATTAAAAGTTAAAAAAAATAAAGAATTCTGGAAATGGATGATGGTGTTGGTTGCCCAGCATTGTGGGTGTAGTTAACACCGCTGAACTGTACACTTAAAAATGGTTAAAATGGTAAATTTTATGTTATGGCTATGTCAATCTAAAGAAAGAAATGGAGGCAAAATTAATATAAAGAGTTTATTTGGGCCAAGGTTAAGGACTATAGCTCAGGACACACTTCCAAGTTGTCTTGGCAATGCTCTGTTTGGCCTCTGCTACAAGCAGGTTATTTTGTTTTTTTCTGTTTTTTGTTTTTTGAGACGGAGTCTCGCTCTGTCGCCCAGGCTGGAGACTGGGGCCTCTCAGAGGGTGGAGGGTGGGAGGAGGGAGAGGATCAGGAAAAATAACGAATGGGTACTAGGCTTAATACCTGGTTGATAACATAATCTGTACAACAAACCCCCATGACACATGTTGACCTAAGTTACAAACCTGCACATGTACCTGTAATTAAAAGTTAAAAAAAATAAAGAATTCTGGAAATGGATGATGGTGTTGGTTGCCCAGCATTGTGGGTGTAGTTAACACCGCTGAACTGTACACTTAAAAATGGTTAAAATGGTAAATTTTATGTTATGGCTATGTCAATCTAAAGAAAGAAATGGAGGCAAAATTAATATAAAGAGTTTATTTGGGCCAAGGTTAAGGACTATAGCTCAGGACACACTTCCAAGTTGTCTTGGCAATGCTCTGTTTGGCCTCTGCTACAAGCAGGTTATTTTGTTTTTTTCTGTTTTTTGTTTTTTGAGACGGAGTCTCGCTCTGTCGCCCAGGCTGGAGTACAGTGGCACGATTTCGGTTCACTGCAACCTCTGCCTCCCGGGTTCAAGTGATTCTCCTGACTCAGCCTCCCGAGTAGCTGGGACTACAGGTGTGCACCACCACGCCCGGCTAATTTTTGTATCTTTAGTAGAGATGGGGTTTCACTATGTTGACCAGGCTGGTCTTGAACTCCCGACTTCAGGTGATCCGCCCGCCTTGGCTTTCCAAAGTGCTGGGATTACAGGCATGAGCCACTGCGCCTGGCCACAAGCAGGGTTTTAAAAGTTAAAGGGGGCGGGTGCTCAGGAGGCTGAGGCAGCTTGAGCCCAGGAGTTTGAGTCTAGCCTGGGTGACATAGCAAGACCTTGTCTCTTAAAAAACTTTTTTAATTGCTTAAACATTTTAGTCAAAAAGGCAAAAGGAGACAATGAGTGGGCTGATAAAAAGTTGTTTGTCAGGAATTCTCATTGGTTAATGGAAATAACATTGATTAGTAATTGGCTATACATTGTTGAACTATAGGGTAAGAGTTATGGCATCCAGAGTGTGTGGCATTTTATAGCTACTTGGTGTCAGTTAGTCTTAGAGCCCACATAGCAAGGGGCTGTAAGACATAATTATTTAGCCCAAGATGGTGGAGAGGATGAGATGTGGCATGCTGTCACTTTTCTTATTTTTTTAACTATTACAAAAGTTTATTTAACAAAAAGTCTAATATGAAAATTTTCATGACCTAATTTTTACATCATAGTGAAATGGACCCTTTGGAGAGGGGACATGAAAGTCTCCGTTGAACAGCCACTATTTACACTTGTTCCAAGGCTTCTGACATGATGATACTATTTCCTCATCTTACCAGCATTGCAATATTGTTCTGTTGCTCGCTAGTTGCCATCTCCACACATTCATCTATCACAAGGTTCATAAAGGGATAAATCCTCGCAGCATTCCTTGGACATGTCTGCCACCGTTTAATTTCAGTGATAACTTCTTGTCCATAATTTTTTTCAGCTTGTGAGGGTGAGCTTTGCCACCTGTTCTGCAGTCTCACAGATGCCTTGAAACGGAATGTGATGTTGTTACTTTTCATTGCCTCTCTGGGCCTGATAACTAAAGAGCGTGCAGATAAAAAGGTTCTCTTCTTTCTCATATATTTTGCTACAATAAAAAAAAATTTTTAGGCCAGGGCAGTGTGACTCATGCCTGTAATCCTAGCATTTTGGGAAGCTGAGGTGGGTGGATCACCTGAGGTCAGGAGTCGAGACCAGCCTGGCCAACATGGTGAAACCCCATCTCTACTAAAAATACAAAAATTAGCTAGGCATGGTGGTGCATACCTGTAATTTCAGCTACTTGGGAGGCTGAGGCAGGAGAATCGTTGAACCCGGGGGGCGGAGGTTGCGGTGAGCAGAGGTTGCTCCACTGCACTCCAGCCTGGGTGAAAGAGTGAGACTCTGTCTCGAAAATAGTATGCCTGTGATCCCAGCTACTTGGGGGTTGAGGCATGAGGATTGCTTGAACCTGGGAGGTCAAGGCTGCAGGGACCTCCACCTGCCTATATCTTACGCCTTGTAAACTAAGATCATGCCACTGTACTCCAGTCTGGGTCACAAAGTGAGACCCTGTCTCAAAAAAAAAAAGACCCATTCATTCGTTCATTCAACAATTGCTTAATTGAATATGAAGGCAGTAAGTGTTAAGAAGAAAAACAGAGCAAGATAGGAAATGTGTGCTCTATTGCTATTTTATTTTGAGTAGCTAGGAAACATTTCATTGATGAGGCATCATTTGAACAGAGAACTGAGGGAGTGAGTCCTGTAGTTACCAGAGAAGATACCAGGACAAATGTAAAGTCCCTGAGGCAGGTACATGGTGTCTTTGAGGAACAGCAAGGAAACCAAGGTGGCCAGATCACAGCAAGAGAAGGAGGAAGTGTATAAAGAGGGGAAGATCAGAGAAGTATCTGGGTCCACATCACCCGGGGCCTTTGTAGACTGTGCTAAGGACTCGTTTCTTTTCCTTGATAAGGTAGAAGGCCAGTGGAGAGTGTTGAGCAAAGAGTGAAAAACTGGCATAGGTGTTAAAAGGTTTCCTTGGCTGCTATGTGGAAAATCACCAGTACAGTACCAGGAGTAGAAATAGGAGATCAGGGCTGAGTGTGGCAGCTCACACCTGTAATCCCAGCACTTTGGGAGGGCGAGTCAGGAGACCAGCCTGGGCAACATACTGAGACCCCACCTCTACAAAATAAAATAAAATAAAATAAATAGGAGATCAATGAGTAGGCTATTGCAGCAATCCAGGTGTATTCAAAACTCTTCTAGAAATAAGAAAAAAAAAAACAAAACAGTGGCTTGGACCAGGAAGACAAAGAAAGGCAGAAAAAATGGTCAGATTCTGAATACATTTTAATTTGAAGGTAGAAACAAGAATCCTTGTTGGGGTGTAAGAAAAAGAATGAATGCCATGGTTTTTGCCTGGGAACCATTAAGCCGGTGTTTCCATCACCAAGACAGGCAAGTCTATGGGAAAAAGCAGGTTTAGGTGGGTCAGAGTGGGAATCAGGATTTTTGTATTGACCTAGCTTTTTACTGTTTCCCACACTCTTCCTTTGTTTCTAATGATCCACATTTGTCTTCTGTATTGTTGCCTTTCAGCCTGAGAACTTTCTTAAGCATTTCTTGTAGTGAAGATGCTAATGGTGAATTCTTTTAGTTTTCTTGTTTTTGGGGAAATTTCTTTGTTTTACCTTCATTTTTGAAGGATATTTCATAAATCTGGGTTTGAAAAACTGGCTTCTGCCCTCCATGGTTTCTGATGAGAAGTCACCAGTGATTTGATTTTTTTTCCACCCCATGTGTAACATATCTTTTTTCTTGGGCTGTGTCAAGATTTCCTCTTTATCTTTGATTTTTAGCAGTTGGACTATGATGTGCCTAAGGGAGATTTTCTTTGTATTTATCCTACTTGAGGTATGCTGGGTTTCTTGAGTCTGTAAATGCATGTCTTTCACCAAATAAGGGGAAATTTTAGCCATTGTTTCTTCAAATATTTTCTCTTCTTTTATCCTGTAGTCTTTCTTTTTTCCTTCTGGGGTTTCATTTCACATGTTAAACATTTTGATACTGTTTTTACAGGCTCTTGAGGCTCTGTGTTTTTGTTGTTGTTGTTTGTTTTCAATCTTTGTTCTCTTTGTTGTGATTGGATACTTTTTGTACTGATCTGATTTCAAGGTTGTTGACTCCTTTATTATCTGAACACTGTTGTTAAGCCAAACTGGTGAATCTTTTATTTCAAACATTATCTTTTCCAGTTCTAGAATTTCTATTTAGTTTTCCTCTAAATCAAGTTTCTCTGCTGAGGTTTCCTATCTTTTTATTTGTTGTACATGTATCATCCTCAGCTTGCAAAGCATAGTTATAATAGCTACTTGAGAATTATGATTTTGTTAATTCCAATATCTAGGTCATCTCAGGGTCAGTCTCTGTTGATTGTCTTGTCTCTTAAAAATGGATCACATTTTCCCTGTTCTTCATATATGAAATAATTTGGATATTCTGAACATTATGATTGTTAAGTTGTGGAGACTCTGGATTCTGTTATTTCCCCTAACTGCTGATTTTTTTTTTTTTTTAATATAGATTCTTAGTTTGTCACTCAGGCTGGAGTGTGGTGGCACAATCATAGCTCACTGCAGTCTCAAACTTCTGGGTTCAAGCGATCTTCCCACCTCAAGCCTCCCAAGTAGCCACCATGCCTGGCTACTTTTTTAAATTTTTATTTAAATTTTATTTTTTGTAGAGAGGTGTCTCGCTATGTTGCCTAGTCTGGTCTCACACTCCTGGCTTCAAGTGCTCCTCTGGCTCCAGCCTCCCAAAGCACTGGGATTAAAGGATTGAGCCACTACGTCTGGCCAAATGCTGATTTTTAAATTTTGTTTTGTTTTAAGCAAGCTATTAACTTGGTTGGATCAAGCTGTAAACCATCTCTTGAGCACCAGTTTAAATCTCAGTTTAGTTTGTACATTCTTATCTGGGCTGCTTGAGCCTGCCTCATGCATGCATGGACTAGGAATTGGCCAGAGATTTGGACAGTTTATACACAGAATTTGTGGTTCTTCTTCTCTGCGTCTCTCTGTTTATGGATTCTCCCTCTCACTTTCCAATGGCTGTGGTTGCCTCGAACTCTATCCTTTGATTCTTTAGGCCAGAAGGACTGCAGACTTTCTATCATCATTTTATCTGCCCTGTGTGACTCTACCATGGCCTGCCTTTTGGATAAAAGCCATAAAAACTGTGAAACTCATCGCATATGCATCTTCCTTTTCCAAGTAGTAACTCCTCTCCAGAAACTGCCTGCTTTTGTTCACACTCCAGGGCCTTCAGGTCGTTGTTTTTCCTATTTTGTTCAGAGTTTATGGTAGTTACCTGTAGGGGTTTATACAGCAGGAGCTCACTATGCTACCCTGGAAACAGAACTGCGAGAAGTTTTGTTTGGACACATTACATTTCAGATGGTCACAAGATATGCAAGTGAAGATGTGCACTAGCCAGTTGGATGTATGCACCCGGAGCTCTGGAGATAAATCATTTAACATTTGACAGGGTATAGAAGGTATGAAGAGTCATGTGTGTGGGTAAAATCACCTAGGCCGTGAGTGTAGATGCATAAGAGAAACAGGTCCAGAACCCAGATCAGTGCACTCCAGTGTTTACACACCAGCATGATGAGGAAGAAGTAAGAATGCAGATGAGAAAGAGTGGGCAATGTCGAAAGAGGAAAACCACAAGAGCGTTGTCTTGAAGTCAAAATGAAGAAAGTATTTCAAAAAAAGACAGAGTGACCAAAGGTATCAAATGCTGTTAATGGCTTAAGTAAGATAAAGATGAAAAGTTCACTACTGGGTTTAGCAACATGAAGGTCCTTGGTGAACTGACAACAGTTTTGTTCCAGTGGAAGACTCAGAACTCACTGAAACGAAGACTTGAATCCATAAGTTTGGAGAAAGCTTTCAAGAAATTTTAACTGCCAAGAGAATAGAAAAATAGGATTGAAGCTGGAGGGGGCTATGAGGTCAAGAGAAGTTATGTTTTGATTTTCGACATTGGGAAAAATTATATCATGTTGGTATGCCAGAGGGCATAATTGAGAGGGGATCATTGATGTGTCAGGAAAGTGAGAGTTGGGCCGGGTGTGGAGGCTCACACCTGTGATCCCAGCACTTTGGGAGGCCAAGGTGGGAGGATCATTTGAGCTCAGGAGTTCAAGACCAGCCTGGGCAACACAGAGAGACCCCATCTCTAATTTAAAGGAAAAAAAAGAAAGTGAGAGTACAGAATCCTGTGCTCCAATGGAGAGCCAGCCTTAGATAGAATTGTAGGCAGCTCATTCATAGCAACTGTCAAATCCACACCATCATTTTTTGTCAGTTCCTTCAGTCTGCAGATGATATTAAAGAAACCTATTCAATAAGTTAAGCAATTCAGGAATATGGAGACAGGGGATACAGACTATGCCACTAATTCATTGCCATACCCCAGGCGATCTTATGGAAGAGGCACTAAGGGGCTGAGATGGAGGGATGGAGGGAACAGGACTGGCCATGGGGTGGACTCCAAAGACATGATGCATGCAGAAGTTCCTGGCTTCCTCCTGGGCTAGGGTGAGGAGTGTGGCCAATATGCAAGTGTCAGGATGGTGGTGGTCACGGTGGGGAGGTATGTCTGCGAATGGTGGGACACACAGACCTCATTTGAGAAAACGGATAGCAGCTTCCCGAGGAAAGTCTGGAATCTGCCTGTGCACTCTGCTGTGGCCTCTTCGACTCAGGAATGAAGCCCATCAGAGCTTGGTCCCAGGCCTGGTTGTCACCTTGCTCCCATCAGGATTGCACTTGGTTGCCATCTTGCTCCACCCCTGGCCAGATAAAATTAATCTGAGACAGGATTTGGCTCACAGAGCAGGGTTGCCCCCACTCTGTCTCTGACCTAGTGGCTTTCAAACTCGTTTTCACCAATTTTACATCGTAATTTGGTGCACATACATATATGATATATAGACTTACATAGTATTGAAACAAAACTTTAATGAAACATTTGGTCATTTAATCACTTGTGATGCGCTCTGGTATTTTCCATTTTTTTTAATGCTAGTTACAACCAACGAAACTGATTTCATGACTTCTAACCTGTAGTTGGGAAAATACCACTGTAACCACATAGATGACTTTGCTCTCGTCTGTCTCGTTCTTTCAGGGTGATGAGCAGCATAAAGATTCCAAGAAGCCTCAAACTGAGTTGATTATCTCGGTGTATCTATCTGTTCCCATAGATTAGCAAATGTGAACTTTAGAGCACATTTATGTAAATGTACTGTTGGTTTCCCTTGACCTGACCTCAAACCTGACTGACTTTTCTGCACACTGAGAGCTACAGTGCTGAGCTCACCACTTCATTCCTTTGTTCTCTCCTTATCTCATCCACTGCACCTCACATTCCATCTTTCCCCACTCAGTCCCCCTGGGAGCCCTTGAAGTTAAACTATTTGAATCATAGACTATCACAGGTGAAAGAGACTTAAGAAGTGTTTGATACAGTTATCCCTTTGGTGTAGTTCAATGATCTCCAGTCTCTGCTTGCATTTCTCCAGTGACAGAGGGCTCACTACTTAGCAAGGTAGTTTCTTTCCTTTCTTTCTTCTTTCTTTCTCTCTCTTTCTTTCTTTTCCTTCCTTCCTTCCTTCCTTCCTTCCTTCCTTCCTTCCTTCCTTCCTTCCTTCCTTCCTTCCTTCCCTCCCTCCCTCTCTCCCTCCCTCCCTCCCTTCCTCTCTCTCTCTCTCTGTCTCTCTCTTTCTTTCTTTCCTTTTGGCCAGATACAGGGCCTTGCTTTGTTGCCCAGGCTGATCTGGAACTCCTAGACTCCAGCAATCCTCCTGTCTCTGCCTGCCAAAGTGCTGGGGTGGCAGGCGTGACCCACGGCACCCAGCCTCATATTTTCAAAATATGCCAGAAAGCTGCATTTTAAAATATAAAATCATCCCATTAAAAAATGCCAACTAATTCAAAATCTTTTTTAAATTTTTCATGAGCTGACAGCCCAGGCTCACTGAAGACACCATGACACTCACATCTGCCTTCAGAGCCCAGTTCTGCGCCCGTAGTGCTGGGAGACTGAGTCTGGGCGGAGCCTGGTAACTTACCCACCCAGCTTTTACCCAGGTCTCTCCAGACGTTCTCAAGTCATTGCTGTAGCCAGGGCCAAATTCAAGAAAACAACCACATTTTCTGAAGAGCCAGAGGGAGCTGGCCTGAGTCTTGCACTAGTGGGTTTTTGTTTGTTTGTTTGTTTTTGGTAAGTGGAGAAAGCAAATGAACCTGGAATACTGTGTCAAAGAAGGCTTTGGATGGAATCCGATCCCCTACCCCGGCCAGGGTACTTACCTACTTGCTTCAGTCTTTCCTTAGCTTCTAGCTTCCTGAGTAACTTCCAACTTTCCTTCTCAATGACTCTGTTTGCTTATCTGTTTGCAAGGTAGTGAACATAAAAATCTTTTTGTGCACTTTCAGATATAAAACATGCAATGACAGGATAAAAATGTAGTTGCTTATCACAAAATTATAAAAGTATCATGGGATCCACAGAATTATAGACTTTTGGAGCAAGAATGGGCCTTTCAACCAGCTAGCTGGCCAAATGAGGTAAACGAATGCAGGGAGTAATTTGCCTAACGTTTTGATGCTGGGCCAGGTGTGGTGGCTCACACCTATAATCCCAGCACTTTCAGAGGCCAAGGTGAGTGGATCGCTTGAGCCCAGGAGTTCGAGACCAGCCTGGGCAACATGGTGAAACCCTGCCTGTACAAAAAAATTAACCAAGTGTGGTAGTGGTCCCAGCTGCATAGGAAGCTGAAGCAAGATGACAGATCACTTGAGCCCAGGAGGTCAAGACTGCAGTGAGCCATGATCGTGCCACTGCACTCCAGCCTGGGTGACAGAGCAAGACCCTGTCTCAAAAAAAAAAAAAGAAAGAAAGAAAGAAAGAAAATACATAGATACAGAAAGGTGAGGCATATAGAGGGCAAACCTCCCAGCAAGTCAGGACCAAAGCTGAGGTGACATCAGGCTCCTGCCCTCAGCCCCTGAGCTCTTTCTTCTACAGTAGGGCTGGGAAAGAAACATGTGAACCTGGGGTGGGAGCAGCGGGCACTCAGAAGGTGTGGGGTAGTAGGGGACCCAAAGGGTCTTATGCACACTGAGAGGAGTGTGAATATGCCTACATGTGCCATGTGCCATAGCACACGTTCTTTGGAGAAGGCACAAGAGATTCACCAAGTCCCACAGGGATGTAGGGAGCTGTGTAATAATGTGAAACCCTCCTTGGAAATTAAGCCATTCATCAATTCACTCAGCCATTTTGCTAATTTATGAAATGCAGACTTTGGGCCATACCCCGCACCTCTCCTTTGGGGGAGGCAAAGGAGCAGAAGCCAGGCTGGCTGCCTTTTTGGAGCTTTCAGCCCTGGGTAGGGAGAAGAATCAGGCCCACATCTAATCAGGAACCAAAGCAGGACCAATCGAGTGGCAGGTGAAGGGCTCAGGCAGCAAGGGCTTGGGGGTTCAGACACCAGGGTGGTTAGAAAGAGCTTCATGGAGGCAAAGGGCAAGGAGAGGATAGAGTCAGAAGGTGGAGGTCTGGGGCCTGGCCAACAGGCAGAACAGACTATCAGATGTAGTTTGGGATGTCAGGAGAAGGAGCCTTCATTTCACTCCTTCCTTGTACCAATGGGAGGAGTTTAAATTCTAGGTCTTCTTAAATTTTTTAAATTTTAAACATTTTTTGAGACAGGGTCTTTCTCTGTCACCCAGGCGGGAGTGCAGTGGCAGGATCATGGCTCACTACCTCCCAGGCTCAAGGGATCCTTCCACTTCAGCCTCCTGAGTAGATGGGACCACAGGCACACAGTCCAACTATTTTTTTTTTGTAGAGATGGGGTCTCGCCATATTGCCCAGGCTAGTCTTGGACTCCTGTTCTCAAGCAATTCTCCTGCCTCGGCCTCCCAAAATATTGGGATTCTAAGTATGAGCCACCTCTCCTGGCCTCTAGGTCTTAATCTACATTCTAATTCATGGCTTTATTCACTTCAACACATTTTTATTGAGCAGCTACTCAGTGCTGCGCTGCTAGGTGCTGGCAACTGGGGCTATAGAAAGGCAAAGTTCTCAAGGACTCCTGCATCTATACAAAGACAGACCTATGATCCACAAAAGACTGAGGATCAGGGCTATTCTGGGGGCACAGGGTGCCAGTGGGCCTGGCCAGAGGAGGGACACCAAGGAAGTTAGGGGAAATGGCAGGGTGGTTTTCCAGGGGCACGGATTGCATTTGAAGTAAGAGTTATCCAGGCGGGGGAGGAGGGAGGGAAGGGGGTGGTCTCTGCTGAGAAATTACCGTATGCAAAGCCTCATAAATGATGAGTGCTGGGTGCATTTAGTCTAACTGGAGTATGAGGCATAAGGGCATGGTTGGGTAGAGGGCAGGAAAGGGGGCTGGGAGATGAACCCCAGAAATGTCCTTTCCATTTGTCTGGGGGCTCCGGGAGGCTGCTGGACTGCTGATTAACTAATTCCCCAATAAGCCTTCAAGTGAGGCCCAGTCCAGCTGGACAAGAGCTCCCCTTGTCACTGTGTGTGGTGACACCTCTGATTTGCCTGGTCATTTAGTTCTTCTCTTAGGAAGAGGGCTGGATAAGGAGAGACTCTGCTCACCGCCTTGAGTGGGTTCTCTTTGCTTTGAGTTGTGTGGACTTCTGTGAGTAGACACCTACTGTCCTGGGGGAAGGACAGGCATGATGGGACGGTTTGGACCCCGTTCTCACACGTTCCTTTGCAGGTGGAGCTGGAAGGCTGCTGGGAAGGAGGTGTCAGCTGTGCAGTGGCCCTGAGCAGCCTCAGGAACCTGCCTCCTGCTTGCTGGGGACCATGATTTCTCACATCTCTAAGAGATGAAGGCAGATCCTCTGAGGTCAGCTGGTGGGAGAGAACCCTGGGGCCTTAGGAAGGAAACTCTCTGAGCCTGGGAGATGCTGATCCAGTGCCCCTGGCCTAGCCAATCAGGGCCACTCTGGGTGTGCTGGAAAGAGAGGCTTCTCTTCTCTCCCCATCCTTGGAGGGATTTTGGCTGGATACTGGCCAGCAGGCATTGCCTTAGTCATAGTGATGGCAGGGAACTGGGACAGCCCTGGCTGTGTGATTTCCACAGCCACCCCCACAGGGCCTCAATTCTTCAGTTTTCTATCCCAAGGGGACTAGTTGGAAGATCACTGACTGCTTAAACTGAGTAAGTCCCTGGGGGAAGGTGGATTTATGGAAGAGCAAATTCTTGAAAAGGGAGAGCGTGGGCTAAAGCCATGTATTTATTTACTTATTTATTCATTCAATGTTTTGTTTTTTCTTTACTTGTTTAAAAAAAAACACTTCATCTCTTTGAAAAAATAGAAATAATACAGAAATCAACAAAGCCAGAAAAATGTTCCCCCTTGCGGGAAGGGTGAGCTACACACCCTGCCCACAAATAGAATGGGAAATGTATAATTTCCTGAAAAATGGAGCTAAAGCAGGAAAATCGAAGAAGAAGAAGAGGAAGAAGAAGAAGGAGGAGGAGGAGGAGAAGAAAGAGGAGGAGGAGGGAGAAGGGGAAGTGGGATGAAGAGGAGGGGGAAGGGGAGGAGGGGGAGAAAGAGGAGGAGGAAGGGGAGGAGGAGAGGGAGGAGGGGGAGGGGGAGGAAGAGGGGGAGAAGAAAGAGGAAGAGAGCAGGAGAGGAAGAGGAGGAGGAGGAGGAGGAAGTGGGAGGATATCCTTTCAAAGTTTTTGTTCTGTGCATACAAAAATATGAACACCTTAGGCCTCTTCCCATGCCAATAGTGTAACTCCACCTGGCCTTTGGCACCATTCATTCTGTTTGCACAGCACGAGAAGAAGGTCTGTGAGGAGCAGCCTGGCTGGTGGGCAGGTTCTGTCAGTTGCACGAGCACAGCTTCTTCTTTGGCTGTTATTGGGGGTCATCTCTGCTCAGCCAGGCCTTTCCCTGTCCAAGGTCACTCTGCTGCAGGCACAGGAGGAACCAGAAAAAGGCCAAAGTGGTCTAACACACAGGGGTGAGGTGTGAGGTGAGGTGCTGGGCTGGCCTCAGGGTCGGAAGGCAGGTGCTGGCAGAGAGGCGTTTGTTGGCTTTGGGCACTTCCAGCCACAGGAAGTGTTTGTTCTTTTCAGGACAGGGGAATCCTTATTTCCATTCAACAAAAACATTTTGTATAAGACCAAAAGGGGTGCAAAGAAGAGTTCTAATTGAGAGGAGTTTGCCAGCTCTAAAGAACGTCCAATTTGGGCGCTGTCAGAGAGACTCAGAATGTTCTGAAGCTCCACAGTTGGTGAGAGGGGACCAGAAACACACCCCAATGACAGGCACTCCTGAGGACAGACCAGGAGCAGGTGCTGTGCTGAGCACTCCATATACCTGATTCATTCCATTCTCACCTCTGAGCTAGGGATCGTCCCCTCCTCTCATGAACTGGGAAAGTTTATTACTCATTGAACAGACTCAGAAGGATGTGAAGTGACTTGCCCAGGTCCACATGGTTGGAAAGTGGCCAAGCAGGAATTAAGGGCCAAGGTCTCTGACTCCAAAGTGCACCCTTATGTGCATTTTGCTCTGAGACAGGTGGGGTTCGAGGTGAATCTGGAGGGCAGGAAGGGACTTATCAGGTGAAGGCAGGAGGAAGGCCTTCCAGGCTGAAGGTGCAGCTGGAACGAAGACACAGAGGCAGCGTGGCCCTAGAACTATGTGGCGGGCTCTGAGGGAATCTTTCAGGTTAAGGCTAGAGGGAGGGCTTGGGCTCAGGATGGAGGGCCCTGAGGGTCTGGGAGAGGGGCATGTGACCCTTCCAGAAGGCCACAGGCATCATGGGTGAAGGGAAGAGGCCCAAGCTGACAGCACTGAGGAGAAGCCCGGTGATGAGGGGAGGAAGGGAAGAAGCCAATGAAGAGTGCAGGAGGAGGAGCCTGCTGGGATATGGGCGGGAGCCAGGGCGGGGGAGGATCTGCCTCCCTCATGTGGCCACCACAGTGTTCTCAGGGATGAACTGCCTAGAAAGGCTTGTCCCAGGCTGAAGGTCCAGCTGGCAGAGCCCAGGGAGAAGCCCAAGGGCACCCATCATGCCAGCGAAGAGAGCAAGAGGCCAGCTGTGAGGGTGACAGGAAGAGGGAGAAAGGAGTTTGTGAACGGTTCAGGTAGGAGATGACCCTTTATCGATTTGGTTGTGGGGATGGAGAAGGGTGAGGTGTGATAAAAGCTGCAGTGCAATGCTTGGATCCTTCCCACAGCCCCCGCCCTGGCCAGGATGTGCTGTGTGTCTGTGTATCCAGGCATCCTAGTTAGGGCTGAAGGGACCCTCCTCGGGGAACATGTTCCTACAGGATGACATCTGTCCAATGTGGTTTTGGACCTGTGGTGCTGGCTGGTCCTGGGCCCAGGTCTGTGGGCCTGGATGGAATGAAGCAGCCACACCTGTGTCACCCCATCTCTGGGAAGCCCCACCCCACCTGGTCAGACATGCCAGGCCAACCCCATACCCATCTTGTCATACCTGAGCTCCATGCCGCTGCCCCAGCTCCTCCAGCAAGGGCACATCACCCTTTCAAGGCCTCCTCCAATCTCCCCTCCCCAGGCAGCTGCCCCCAGAGTCCCACTTGCACTTGGTGCCTCTGTGTACATTTCCATGCACTTTCCTGTTATGTTTCTAGACTTTATTATTTTCTGAGTACGTTCATCTTATCTCTCCAGAGATGATGAGATCCTTGAGGGCAGGCATCACATCTTGTCTCTTTTTTGTCTTCCACATAACACCTAAAATGGGTTTGGCTCACTGAAGGCCCAACACTCACAGAATGTTGAATGAATAGGAATTTCCTTCCACCCACACATGGGCCCTGTGGCTTTGGGGGTGTGACCCCAAAACATGCCCATGGGATGTGGTGAGATATAAGTGAAGACAGGGGCCCAGGGAGGATATAAGTGAAGACAGGGGCAGGGACGTCTCCTCCATGATGGTGCTCTGGAATGATGCTCAGCAGGGGAGGGACCTTGGTGATGATCTCTTCCTCTTTACTGATGGACAAATAAAAGTCCCAGTGAGAGGTGACAGCGTGCTGGCAGCCCTGGCAGCCCTCAGCTCATTCTTGGTGCCTCCTTGGCCTTGGTGCCCACTCTGGCCACGCTTGAGGAGCCCTTCAGCCTGCCGCTGCACTGTGAGAGCCCCTTCCTGGGATGGCCGAGGCCGGAGCTGGCTCCCTCAGCCTGCAGGGAGGTGTGGAGGGAGAGGCATGGGCGGGAACCCGGGCTGCACGGCGCTTGTGGGCCAGCTAGAATTCTGGGTGGGCGTGGGCTTGGCGGGCCCCGCTGGCCCCGGGCAGTGAGGGGCTTAGCACCTGGGCCAGCAGCTGCTGTGCTCAATTTCTCTCCGGGCCTTAGCTTCCTCCCTGCAGGGCAGGGCTCGGGACATGCAGCCCGCCATGCCTGAGCCTCGCCACTCCCCCACCATGGGCTCCTGCGTGGCCTGAGCCTCCCCATCGAGCACCGCCCCTTGCTCCATGGCACCCAGTCCCATTGACCGCCCAAGGGCTGAGGAGTGTGGGCACATGGCGCGGGACTGGCAGGCAGCTCCACCTGCGGCCCCAGTGCAGGATCCACTGGGTGAAGCCAGCTGGGCTCCTGAGTCTGGTGGGGACTTGGAGAATCTTTATGTCTAGCTAAGGGATTGTAAATACACCAATCAGCACTCTATATCTAGCTCAAGGTTTGTAAACACACCAATCAGCACCCTGTGTCTAGCTCAGGGTTTGTGAATGCGCCAATCAGCACTCTGTATCTAGTTAATCTGGTGGGGACTTGGAGAACCTTTATGTCTAGTTAAGGGATTGTGAAGGCACCAATCAGCACTCTGTATCTAGCTCAAGGTTTGTAAATGCACCAATCAGCACTCTGTGTCTAGCTCAGGGTTTGTAAATACACGAATTGACACTCTGTATCTGGCTAATCTAGTGGGGACCGTGGAGAACTTTTGTGTCTAGCTCAGGGATTGTAAATGCACCAATCAGCACCCTGTCAAAACAGACCAATCAGCTCTCTGTAAAATGGACCAATCAGCAGGATGTGGGTGGGGCCAGATAAGAGAATAAAAGCAGGCTGCCCAACCCAGCAGTGGCAACCTGCTGGGGTCCCCTTCCACACTGTGGAAGCTTTGTTCTTTCGCTCTTTGCAATAAATCTTGCTACTGCTCACTCTTTGGGTCCACACTGCCTTTATGAGCTGTAACACTCACCGTGAAGGTCTGCAGCTTCACTCCTGAAGCCAGCAAGACGACGAAGCCACTGGGAGGAAGGAACAACTCCAGACATGCTGCCTTAAGAGCTGTAACACTCACCGCAAAGGTCTGCAGCTTCACTCCTGAGTCAGCGAGACCATGAACCCACCAGAAGGAAGAAACTCCGAACACATCCGAACATCAGAAGGAACAAACTCCGGACACGCCGCCTTTAAGAACTGTAACACTCACCGCGAGGGTCCGCGGCTTCATTCCTGAAGTCAGTGAGACCAAGAACCCACCAATTCCAGACACACCAGAGTGGTGGCTGGGCACATTGGCTCATGCCTATAATCCCAGCACTTTGGGAGGCCAAGGTGGGAGGGTCACATGAGACCAGGAGTTCAAGACCAGCTTGAGCAAAACATAGCAAGAGCCCATCTCTAAAAAAAAAAAATTTTTTTTAATTAGCCAGGCATGATGGTGTGTGCCTGTAGTACCAGTTACGCTGGAGGCTGAGGCGGGAGAATCACTTGAGCCCAGGCTCAAGGCTGCAGTGCGTTGATGGTGCCACTGCACTCCAGCCTGGATGACAGAGTGAGACTCTGTCTCTTAAAAAAAAAAATTCCAGATTGGAAATAGGTGCCCAGGGACACTGAGCTGAGGCTCTAGGGATCCCACTAAGGTCAGCAATTTTTATTTTATTTTTATTTATTGAGAAAACCCAATTTTCCAGGCCTCATATCCTTGACTTTTCAGCAGTATTCTCTATTTTAAAAACATACTTCTCTCCCTGACACAAACCTTTTACTTCTCCAATCAGTTTTTCCTCTGTCTGCACTGTAGGATTTTTTCTTATCTGCCCAGCTATTAAATATCATTAAGAGTTCCCCAGGCCCTTCCCTTCCCCCTTGTTCTCTCTCCTAGCAGGCTCTGCTGCCACAGCTTGAGTGACTGCATCTGACTCTTAGCCACTCTGGCCCAGAGTTCTCATCTGAGTTTCTGATCCATGGGTCTACCTGCCCCTCCGGCATCTCTTGAGTGTGTGTCCTAAAGGCACTGCATGCTGCTTGTGTCCACATCTGCATTGATGATTTCCCTCTGCATTCTTCCAAAATTCCCATGCCCAGTGATCCCTATGCAGGGAATGAAGTGCATCCATTCCAGTGCAAAGGTCAGAGATCTTTCGTTACCTACACACATCATCCATCAGTTTCACTTCCTGAACATCTCCTTACCCACTGTGTCTGGAATTGGTTCCTGCTGGTGGGTTCGTGGTCTGGCCGACTTCAAGAATGAAGCCGGGGACCTTCGCAGTGAGTGTTACAGCTCTTAAAGATGGCACAGACCCAAAGAGTGAGCGGTAGCAAGGTTTATTGTGAAGAGTGAAAGAACAAAGCTTCCACAGCATGGAAGGGGACCCAAGTGGGTTGCTGCTGCTGGCTGGGGTGGCCAGCTTTTATTCCCTTATTGTCCCCTCCTATGTTCCATTTCTGTCCTATCAGAGTGCCTTTTTTCAATCCTCCCCGTGATTGGCTACTTTTAGAATCCTTTCCCTTATTGGCCCCAAACTGGTGCTTTAGCTGCAAAGTGCTGATTGGTGTGTTTTACAGAGCGCTGATTGGTGCATTTTATGGAGTGCTGATTGGTGCATTTTACAATCCTCTTGTGAGACAGGGAAGTTCCCTAAGTCCCCACTCAACCCCGGAAGTCCAGCTGGCCTCACCTCCCACCACCTTCCTCCTTCTCCACCACCATGAGCCTCCTTCAGCTCTGGCTTGGAGAGTGACAGCCTCCTGACTGGGCTCCTGGCTCTGTCCTTATCTCCCAGCCTTCCCTTCTCCATGCAGCTATCTGTCAGCTTTTGAAAACATGAAGCAGGTCCTGTCACTTTCCCACTTACAACCCTTTACCAGCCTCTTCTTCCTCTTAGAATAAAGGCCCAGATGTTACCAAGGCCTAGGGGGCTCCTGCTGACCTCTCCTGCCTCAAGCTCCCTTCATTCTGCATTACAGCCACCTGGTCTTTCCTGGAATTCCCCAAGATCCTACTAATCACAGAGCTGTGCAAAGAGCCTAGGAGAGGCACCTGCTGGTATGTTTCCATATTATCATTTTATATTCATTTGTGAAATTCTTTGATGAATGCCTCTCTACAGTGCTTAGAATATAGAAACTTTCCTTTGCCCCATTTTAAGATTTGAGAATGCATGTGTCATGAAAGCTTCTCATCAGAGGCCCAGATCCTTCAGGTACCAGACCCCATGTATCCAGGCGGATCCCACCTGGGAGCCCAGGCAGCCCAGGGCTTCTGAAATAACAACACCTGGCCTGGCATGGTGACTCACGCCTGTAATCCCAGCACTTTGGGAGGCTGAGGCGGGTGGATCACCTGAGGTCAGGAGTTCGAGACCAGCCTGGCCAACATGGTGAAACCCTGTCTCTACTAAAAATACAAAAAAAAAAGTAGCCGGGCGTGGTGGCAGGCGCCTGTAATCCCAGCTACTTGGGAAACTGAGGCAGGAGAATTGCTCCAACCCAGGAGGTGGAGGTTGCAGTGAGCCGAGATCATGCCATTGCACTCCAGCCTGGGAGACAAGAGCGAGACTTTATCTCAAAAAATAAATAAATAAATAAATAAATAAATAAACAAAAACAAAAAAAAAACAAAACAAACAGAAATAGCAACACCTGATAGCATGTCCCTTCAGAGACCCTGCCCCAGCCATGAGGTCAGTGGCCATACCTGGCGTATGGAATACAAGTTCCATGAGGTCAGTGGCCACGCCTGGCATATAGAATATAAGTTCTTTGAGGTCAGTGGGCACACCTGGCATATGGAAGTGGCACAGTAAACATGTGTTGACCTCAGGCTCCTCTCAGGGAGGATGCCTCTGGGTTCAGGTCACTGAGTTTTGCAGGGGAGGTGCATATTGTCCTTGAGTGCCGGGTAAGGTTTGGGCACCTGGAGCACCAGGGGTCAGTGAGAGGGAGGCGAGAGGGCCTGGAACACAAGGCTCCAGGGAGGTGATGGCCACAGGGGAAGGGAAGAAATGCTGATTGAGGACTGGGCCTTGAATTGGGGAAAGAATTGTTTTATTTGCCACCCATATGAGAAAGGAGGAGGGGAGAGGCCTGCAGGAAAGGAGAGTCCACCTTGAGGATTTATTGCAAGGTGAGTGGCCCTATGTTCTCTGTAAATCACTACTACACACTTGGGACTGAGGCACATCGTTTTTAAGACATCTGCTGACTTGGACAATTATAGGGAGCCTTGAGGTCTTTTAGCAGGTGGGGTCTAACTGGCAGAAGCAACTGAGAGGCTCAAGGAGAGGAGAAGGCTTCTCCTCTGCGCTGTGCCCAGCATGGCTGGGACAGGGTCCCTGAGCCCCCAGCGGACATGCTATCAGGTGTTGCTATTTCAGAAGCCCTTGGGCTGCCTGGGTTCCTAAGTGGGATCCACCTGGATACATGGGGTCTGGTACCTGGAGGATCCAGGCCTCTGATGAGAAGCTTTCATGACACATGCATTCTCAAATCTTAAAATGGGGCAAGGGAAAGTTTCAGATCAGACAAGCTGGGCTGCAGCATGAAACCAAAAGAGATAGAGAGAGGCCCCAGGCTTAATGCCTGGTGGAGGCTCAGTCATGTCTGTTGAAACCTAGGATATTCATCTATGTAGGCAGATAGGAAACACAGGTGACCACCTTCCCAAACAAGCTGGGCACATGACAGAAGCAGAAAGCACCTTATCCTCTCCAGCAAACCATTCTTCGGACCCATTCTGCCCCGCAGAAAAACCCCAGGCAGCTCCCATCCTTTTCTGACCACTCTCATGTAATAAAATATCTAGCCCCATGTGATGTCAAACCTCAAGCTCTGTTCCATTGAAAATGTCTCTGCCAAGCCCATTCAGGCTGGGGAAGCTGCAAGGGCAGAGAACTGTCTCCTTCTCTTACTTCTCTGTTCACCTTTTCTCCCCAGGCTGCTCCAGGGGTGGAGGAGACAGGAAGAAAGCAGAGGGAGGCCAGGAAGGGCTAGCTTGACCTTTTGCAGCTGTATCTGGCATTAGTGCCCTTGGACATGGCAGATTGCAGAGTTAGTTCTGCCCTAGGAGTCTGTGGTTGCTCTGAAGCCTCTCGAATTGCTGAGGCTTCAGTCAACAGACGTGGCTGCCTCCTTGGCCTGGCCACATAAGATCTCTCAGGCTCCCATCAGCCCTCACCTCACCCCTTCTGAGTCTGCTTCTGCAGGTTCTGTATCTGGCCCCCACGCCCATCCCTGCTCCCCTAAACCCTGGAGGCACAGGCTCTTCTAAGACAGCCCCTCTTTACCCAGCCACTCCCTCTCACACAGGGGCTTTTTCAAGGGTGGGTCGGTCAATCCGTTCCTGTGTTCCTCAAATTTCAGGGGATGCCTGACACATTCTTTGATATCCCCTACAGCCCATTGATCACTTCCCTTCAGAGAAATCCTCACCATGTGCCCCATGCCCCTTCAGTCTCCCAAAGAGTTGGAGGTGGGTGATAGACTGAGGATGGCATGATTGATTTCACAGACCCTTACTCAAGTAGCACAGTGGTCCTGCATCCCAACTTAGGAAACAGTGTGTTTGGCACCTTCTGAATTGCTCTAGGACTTTAGGGGCTCTGCCCAGACAACAGGAAGAGTTACTTTTATCCTTCTATTTCATGAACATCATAAAAGGCAAGGAGGTGTAAAAAAGTGAGGGCAGGAGAGTTAGGCAAGTCCAGGAGAGAGTTCAGAGCAGGACAGGAGTCAATAGAAGTTGTTGAGAAGGAAGAGGGGCCAATGGGAGCCGTAGAGAGGACACTAAGCTGATATTTACATGGCACTTTGGCCCTGCGAAGGGTCTTACATCATCTCATTGAGATATTCAAAAATACTGGGGGAAGGATATTATTCCCATTTTAGCAATGAGAAAACTGAAGCCCCCCACAGGGCAAATGATTCATAGTATAAATAGCAGAATTGGGATGTCAGCCAAGTCAATATATCACCCAATCACCTAGAAAGTTCCAACTGTTCTCTTACCTCCTTAAAAAATGTCTAGTTATTCAAGCAGTACTGGAATACATCCTTGAAGCAAAATATGTATAGACAACTTTTTTTTTTTTGAGATGGAATCCCACTCTTGTTGCCCAGGCTGGAGTGCCGTGGCACAATCTCAGCTCACTGCTACCTGCGCCTCTCAGGTTCAAGCAATTCTCATGCCTCATCCTCCCGAGTAGCTGGGATTACAGGCACCCGCCACCACGCCCGGCTAATTTTTGTATTTTTAGTAGAGGCGGGATTTCACCATGTTGGCCAGGCTTGTCTTGAACTCCTGACCTCAGCTGATCCACCCGCCTTGACCTCCCAAAGTGCTGGGATTACAGGCGTAAGCCACTGAGCCCAGCCTGTATAGACAACTTTAATAAGGCTAAAGACCTTTAGACCGCCAATCCCCAAGCAGAGGTAACCTGGTAACCACTTATATGACTTTTTAATATCCTTATAAGCCTTTTCTTCTATATGTATTACATATGCACACACACATACACACATGCATATGTAGTTTCCCATAGAAAAATATAGTATTTGATTGGTATCTCACTGTTCTTACCTGTCAGCTTCTTAGTTTTTTCACTCAACATTATATTAGGTTGGTGCAAAAGTAATTGCAGTTTTTTTTGCCATTAAAGTAATGCTGCAATTACTTATGCACCAACCTAATAATCCTGAAAAGCTTTGTGAATCTGTGTGGCTCCACCTCATTCTTCTTCATTCCTGTGTATCCTATAGTGTGGCTATTCCACAGCTTATTAGGACACTCTCTGATGATGGACAATGAAATAGTTCCCAGTATTTCAAAGCACAATGTATTGTTTAAAGAACAGGAACATTGGCCGGGTACGGTGGTTCACGCCTGTAATCCCAGCTCTTTGGGAGGCTGAGGTGGGTGGATCACCTGAGGTCAGGAGTTCAAGACCAGCCTGGCCAATATGACAAAACCCTGTCTCTACTAAAAATACAAAAATTAACCGAGCCATGGTGATGTGCACCTGACCTGTAATCCCAGCTACTCAGGAGGCTGAGGCAGGAGAATCGCTTGAACCCAGGAGGCAGAGGTTGCAGTGAGCCGAGATCGTGCCACTGCACTCCAGCCTGGCGACAACGGAAAGAGACTCCATCTCAAAAACAAACAAAAAACCAAAAAACAGGAACGTTGCAGAATCCTGTGTGCCTGTCTCATTGCTCAAGAGGGGCTTAGATGAGTCCTGCTTGATAATGAGAAGCAACCAAAGGTGGGAGGGTGGGGAATGCCCCCAAACCATCCCAAGATGGGGCTGGCTGGAATTCCCGAGAAAGAAGCACTAGCCAGGCAGTCTGAGTATGGGAGTTTATACGAAGATTTAAGGAATTTGGCTTAAGGCTGGGGCCAGTTTCTTTCAGTGTTTTAGGCAACAAGCTAGATACCTTCATCAGTGCCTGGAAATGTTCAAGGCCAAAGTTTGGGTTCAAGCCTGCTGGGAAAACCTGCAGCTGGCTGTGTCATAGAGCAGTCAAGGTGTGGCTGTGACTTTTGGCCAGGACATGGAAAGAAAGCAATGGGAACTGGGGGACCCTACATGATGTTCTGACCAATGTGTGAATTCATTGGCAGAAATCTGGTGTATTAGTCAGTCTTCATGCTGCTGATAAAGACATACCCAAGACTGGGTGATTTAGAAAGAAAAGGAAGTTTAATGGACTCATAGTTCCACGTGGCTGGGGAGGCTTCACAATCGTGGTGGAAGGTGAAAGGCAAGTCTTGCATGGCAGCTGGCAAGAGAGAATGAGAACCAAGTGAAAGGGGTTTCCTTGTATGAAACCATCAGATCTCGTGAAACTTATTCACTATCATAAGAACAGTATGGGGGAAACCACACCATGATTCAGTTATCTCCCACCAGGCCCCTCCCACAACACATGGGAATTATGGGAGCTACAATTCAAGATGAGATTTGGGTGGGGACACAGGCAAACCATATCATTTGGCAAGCCTGGATTATAGGCCTCTGGGAGATTCTGAATTCAAGGGGTGTGTCTGCCTTGTCAGTATTCAGGGAAATCTTTGACAATAGCTCTTAGATTAGGGCTCTATGGTAGAAGGCATGTCTGATTCACAAACGGTGGTTTTAAACATTATTATTGTGGTAAATACACATAACATGAAAGTTACCATCTTAACCAATTTTACATGTGCAGTTCAGTGGCCTTTAATGCATTCAAAATGTGCAAACACCACTAGCGTTCATCTCTGTAACTCTTTTCATCTTGTAAAAATGACACTCTACAGCCATTAAACAGTAACTCTCCTTTCCTGCCTCCCTCCAGTCCCTGGCCACCACCATTCTACTTTCCGTCACTACAATTTTGACTATTCTGAGTGCCTCATATAAGTGGAATCATATAGGATTTGTCCTTTTGTGACTGGATCATTTCACTCAGCATAATGTCCTCAAGATTCATCCACGTTGGCCAGGCACAGTGGCTCATGCCTGTAATCCCAGCACTTTTGGAGGCCAGGGCAGGAGGATTGCTTGAGCCCAGGAATTTGAGACCAGCCTGGACTTGAATATAGTGAGACTCTGTCTCCATAAAAAATAAAAAAATAAGAATTAGCTGAGTATAGTGGTTGTCACGCGTGTCCGTGTGATGAGACCACCAAACAGGCTTTATGTGAGCAACAAGGCTATTTATTTCACCTGGGTGCAGGTGGGCTGAGTCCGAAAAGAGAGTCAGCAAAGAGTGGTGGGATTATCATTAGTTCTTATAGGTTTTGGGATAGGCAGTGGAGTTAGGAGCGCTGTTTTGCAGGCAGGGGATGGATCTCACAAAGTACATTCTCAAGGGTGGGGAGAATTACAAAGAACCTTCTTAAGGGTGGGGGAGATTACAAAGTACATTGATCAGTTAGGGTGGGGCAGAAACAAATCACAATGGTGGAATGTCATCAGTTAAGGCTATTTTCACTTCTTTTGTGGATCTTCAGATGCTTCAGGCCATCTGGATGTATACGTGCAGGTCACAGGGGATATGATGGCTTAGCTTGGGCTCAGAGGCCTGACCGTGGTGTGTGCTTGTAGTCCCAGCTACTTGGGTGGTTGAGGTAGGAGGATCGTTTGAGCCTGAGAAGTCAAGGCTGTAGTGAGCAGTGATTGCACCACTGCACTTCAGCCTAGGCAACAGGGCCATATCCTGTTAAAAATAAAGATAAAAAAAGATTCATCCATATTGTAGCATATGTCAGAATTTCCTTCCTTTTAAAGACTGAATAATATTCAATTGCATGTCTATACCACATTTTGCTTATCTAGTCATCAGTCAGTGGACACTTGGGTTGCTTCCGTGTTTTAGTCGTTGTGAATAATGCCGCTATGAATGTAGGAGTGCACATATCTCTTCAACACCGTGCTTTCAATTCCTTTGGATAAATACACAGAGCTAGAATTGCTGGTTGACATGATCATTCTATTTTTAACATTTTGAGGAACCACTGTACTGTTTTCCACAGTAGCTGTGCCATTTTATATGCCTATCAATAATGTACAAGGGTTCCAATTTCTCCACACCCTCCCCAACATCTATTTTCTGCTTTTTTTAAAAAAAGAGTAGCCATCAACTGGGTGTGAGGTAGTATCTCATTGTAGTTTTGATGCACATTTTTCTAGTGATAAGTGGTGTTAAGCATCTTTTCATGTGCTTATTGACCATTTGCATATCTTCCTTGGAGAAATGTTTATCCAAGTCCTTAGCTCATTACTGAGTTGGGTTGTTTTGTTGTTGTTGAGTCTTAGGCATCCTGTGTATATTCTGGATATCAATCCCTTATCAGATATATAATTTGCAAATATTTTCTCCCATTGCATAGATTGCCTTTTCATTCTATTGATAGTGTCTTTTGATGCACAAAACTTTTAAATTTTCATGAAGTCCAATTTGTCTATTTTTTCCTTATTTCCTGTCTGTTAGTGTCATATTCAAGAAATCACTGCCAAATCCAATGTCATAAAACTTTTGCCCTATGCTTTCTCCTAAAAGTTTTAGAGTTTTTGGTCTTACATTTAGGTCTTTGATCCATTTCGAGTTCATTTTTGTATATGGCATTAGGTAAGGGCCCAGCTTCGTTCGTTTGCATGAGATATTCAGTTTTCCCAGCATTATTTGTTGAAAAGACTGTCCTTTCCTCCATTGAATGGTCTTGCACCCTTGCTGAAAACCATTTAACTATATATGAGAGGGTTTGTTTCTGGACTGTGTATCCTATTCTATTGGTCTATGTGTCTGTCTTTATGCCAGTACCACAGTGTTCTGACTACTATAGCTTCGTAGTAAGCTTTGAAATCAGTAAGTGTGAGTTCTCTAGCTTTGTTCTTTATTTCCAACATTGTTTTGGTTATTCGGGGTCGTCAATAAGATGTAATATTTAGACAAGACCAGCCTGGCCAACATGGCAAAACCCCGCGTCTACCTAAAATACAAAATTAGCCAGGTGTGGTGGTGCGCACCTGTTATCCCAGCTATTTGGGAGGCTGAAGCAGGAGAATCGCTTGAACCCAGGAAATGGTGGTTGCAGTGAGTGGAGATTGCACCACTGCACTCCAGCCTGGGCAACAAAATGAGTGAGACCCCGTCTCAAAAAAAAAAAAAAACAACAAAAAAAACTGTGCTACTTGGGCCAGGGGAATTTTATTCTTTTGTTTTAAGGCACCTCTCAAATGAGCAGTTTGAATGAAATTAAATGTTCCCCAAAGTGTGCATTGAATGCCAAAACATCCTTGGTGAAATTCTGCCATTTAGAGAGATAGAAGTTATGGTGGTCATGTGGATACCTGTAAGAAGCGGAGTTTTTTGCAGAGGGGGAGGTTAGATTGGGAAGACTCCTGGTTACTGCAGTTGAAAGTTACAGTCAGCTGAAGGTGTTTAGACAACTTAGTGTCTTGGGCCCCTGACCTAATGGTCAGCCCCTCAGAATTTAGACCCAACAGTCTTGAGTCCCTAGCAGGTGGAATGTGTCAGAAGGAATGTGCTCTCTGAATCCAAACAAGGCTCTCAGGACAAATAGCCAAGATGGGAAAATAATCTCATCAGGTGTTATTGGTCACCCACAGCAAAGTTTGTTCTTAGAGGATGTTGGTCTGGAGGGAACTGCAAACTTTCTAGTCTGTAAGGCTGTCTCAAACAGCCAAATTATAGGAACTATGCCTGTGTTCTACTCTAAATTCTTCCTTCTCATAATTAAATAACACTTAAGGGCTGGGCGCAGTGGCTCACGCCTGTAACCCTAGCACTTTTGGAGGCTGAGGCGGGTGGATCACCTGAGATCACGAGTTCAAGACCAGTCTGGTCAACATGGTGAAACCCTGTCTCTACTAAAAATACAAAAAATTAGCCAGATGTGGTAGCAGGAGGCTGTAATCCCAGCTACTCAGGAGGCTGAGGCAGGAGAATTGCTTGAACCCAGGAGGCGGAGGTTGCAGTGAGCTGAGATCATGCCATTGCACTCCAGCCTGGGCAAGAGTGAGACTCTGTCTCAAAAAAAAATTTTTTTTAAATAAATAAACAAATAAATAACACTTAAGGACACAGGAAAAAACAAGGGACAGGTGGAAGCAAATCACCAAGGATGCAGCTCCAAAGGGAAACATTAACCAAATATAAATAACTGGATTTTACAAGTAAATAAAACAGCCACGGAACTCAGCACAAAGAGCATGGAGTTGGCCAGGCACAGTGGCCAACCTGCAATCCTAGCATTTTGGGAGGCTGAGGCAGGCAGATAGCTTGAGCCCAGGAGTTCAAGACTAGTCTGGGCAATATGGTGGAAACCTGTCTCTACCAAAAAAAAGAAAAAAGCCAAGTATGGTGGCATGTGCCTGTAGTCCCAGCTACTAGGGAGGCTGAGGTGGGAGGATCACTTGAGCCTCGGAGGTGAGGGTTGCAGTGAGCCATGATTGTGCCACTGGACTCCAGCCTCTGTGACAGAGCAAGGCCCTGTCTCAAAAAAAACAAAAAACAAAAAACAAACAAAAAACCAGAGAGATAATGGAGCTGAGGCCCAGGGCAGGTTTACTTGTCAGTGTGTGGTTCAAGGGGCCTTGGTGGGCTCCCACCTGATTAAGAGCCAAGGTCCACAGCGATGAGCAGGTCAGGTGGGATCCGAGTCATGGCACCAAGATTACAGTCAAAAATAAAACTAAACCCAAGGCAAAATTAGCAAAGACTACTTATTTATAAACTTGCATCCGCAAAGAAACATCTGCAGTCATTTTGGTTTCAGCAGGGGTTCAAAGGTATCTGAAAGAAGAGTAAGTTTCTTAGAGAAAAAAGAGGAAATACTAAGGCAGTCTCTGATTGGCAGGTGTTCTATTGGGATGGAGTTTTGAAAGTGAGGGAGACCCTAATTGACCTTTCAAAACATTTGACAGTCCTTGATTGGTTCACTAGCCTTATTTACATGACTGGAAAAATTTCAGATTTTCTTGGTTTTTAGGAGGACTATTTAAAGAGATTTATCAACTCTGCAGGATGGGAGGTAAGAACGAGGGGCAGAATTCTGGCCATGGAGAGGCCAAGTAGGTCTCCCTTTGTGCAGCAATATATTGTTCTTAGTCCCAAGAGTGCAGTTTTTGGGACACAGTTTCCTACCATGTGCAAAGCCACCATACTGGGGACTGTGCAAAGTCACCATACTGGGGACTGTGCAGGCAGTTAGAGATGAATAAAACATGGGCTATACCCATTCCAGCAGAGGATGCAGCCCCAGTTGGCTGATTTTTGGATCCCCAACAAGGTGAAATAAGTTATGCAATGAAGCTATAAGCAAACTGCCAGAGAGAAAAGGAGTTAAGCCACTGTGACACAAAACTTAATTCAGTTCACGAGGGCCCTGGGGGAGTGACTGAAGTGGGTCTGGATTTTATTCATCTATGCAGCAATTATTGAGCACTTACAGATACCAGGCTCTGTGCTAAGTGCTGGGGACACAGCAGTGAACTACATGGTCCTTGCCCTCCTGGAATTTACCATCGGACAGACAGGATAGACTTTATTTATTTGTATTTATTTATCTTATTTATTTATTTTAAAAGATGGGGGTCTTGCTCTGTCCCAGGCTGGAGTGAAGCAACCCGATCATAGCTCACTGTAGCCCCGAACTCCTGGGCTCAAGCAATCCTCCTGCCTCAGCCTCCTGAGTAGCTGCGACCTCAGGCACACAACACCACGCCTGGCTAATTTTTGTATTTTTTGTAGAGATGGGGTCTTGCTATGTTGCCTGGGCTGATCTTGAACTCTTGGGCTCAAGCGATCCTCCCACCTTGGCCTCCCAAAGTGCTAGGATTACAGGTGTGAGCCACCACACCTGGCAGGATAGACTTTACAGAAGCAATTAAAAGCACACTGAGTATTGGAGGAGAAGTGCAGGGGGCCAGAGGAGCATGAGGTCAGGGCATCTCTTTCACTAGGCCAGAGAAGGCCCATTGTAGGAAGAAATATTTCAACTGAGACCAGAAGGAGAATTAGGGAGGTCAAGAGGTGGGAAGGGTACTGACACAGTCTGAGAGTTCTGGGCAGAGGGAACAGCACACATTAGGGCTGCCAGGATGCAAAAAGGATGACATTTTTAAGAATATGATGGAGCCTCAGTGAGCCTGAGGTCAGAGAAGATGGGCCAAGTGGGACTTGAAGCTGGAGAGAGGAGGGAGCACAGGGCCTTGTAAGTGACACTACAATGGCTGGACTTGATCTGCAGGGCAGTGGGAAGCTGGTGAGGGTTTTATACAAGGGTGTGACATCAGGTTTGCCCTTTGACAAGATTGTTCAGGCTGTTGTGTGTGAAAACGAAAAGACTGGAACAAGCGTGTGTAGACATGGAGCAGCTGGGCAGCTGTTCAGGGGAGCAGGGACAGATGCCTGGGCCCATCTGGGGGCAGTGGAGATGGAGAACAGTGAGTGGTTTCATGAGCCACTTTTGTCATATCCGATGGGGCTACAAATGAGTCAGGGAAGATCATATGTTTGGTTCTTAACTCCTTGAGTTTGAGGTGCCTCTGAAACATCAAAGTGGAGACTTAGTCCATGAATGAGTTTATGGGGTTTGAAGCTTAGAAGAGAGGTCCGACTGGAAATTGAAATGGGGGAATGGTCAACATAGATTTTTAAGTAAACAATGGGGTGTATGTGGTCACCTTGAGAGACAGGTAGAAAGAGGAGGCTCCAGACGAACTTCAGCAGCAGAGAAGGAGCTGGCAAAGGAGGCCAAGAAGGAACTGCTGGAGAGAAGAAACCAGGAAACTGGAAGCCTGGAGGCCAAGGGCAAGTTGTCCAAGAGTAGGGGCCGAGGTTGGCTGTGAAATGCTGCTGAGATGGCAAGTAAGATGAGGTCTGAGGACCTCATTGTTTATTGGATTGAACAAATTACTGACCTTCAAGCAATTCTAGTAGTGTGGTGGGAGCAGAAGCCACATTGAAGGGTAGGGACAAGTAAGCAGAAGGTGTTTTAGAAAGGTCACCCTGGTGATGGATGCTGACCCGGAAGGGATTGTACACAAATTCAGGTAAGAAATGTTAAGGTGCACAGAACTCAGAGTCTCAGGATGACTAAGGAAACATGGATCTCAAGGTCAACAGAGAGGAACAATTGGAAACTTGGTCTGAGCAGCTCTGTCTCAGAAGCAAAGAAGAAAGTGAGTAGGAGGTAGAAGGAGGCATCCAGGCTTCCCACAGAGACCACGCTGAGATTCCAGCCACTCTCTGGAGAGCCGTGTCCCTGGATGCTCCTCCTCCCACATACTCCTAGAAGGCCTCTGAGAGTCAGTTAAGGACCATACCCAACTGAACAAAAGTGATGCGGTGTTGTGTCTTGGGTTAAGAGACACAAGTTTTTGCTGCACAAAAACTGGATTGAAAATCTGGCTTTCCCACCCGCTCTCTGTGTGGCAAGTTTCTAAACATTTTTGTGGATTATAAGACAGAGTCTGTTTCAGAAAGATTGTACTATGAAAATATGCAGGGATTAGAATGGAGAAGATGTGGAATTTGAAAATTCTGTTTCCTCAAGTTTTCTCTTTGGGTGCTAACCTTGCAGTTACAAACAAAGCCCTTACCGAATCCATGAAGGAAGAGAGGAACAGGGCATGGCGGCTCATGCCTGTAATCCTAACACTTTGGGAGGCTGAGGTGGGTGGATGGTTTGAGCACAGGAGTTCGAGATCAGTCTGGGCAACATGGTGAAACCCCGTCTCTATAAAAAATACAAAAATTAGCCTGGCATGGTAGCACACACCTGTGGTCCCAGGTACTTTGGAGGTTGAGGTGGGAGGATGGATTGAACCCAGGAGGCAGAGGTTGCAGTGAGCCAAGTGAGCCAAGATTGAGCCACTGCACCCTAGCCTGGGTGACAGAATGAGACCCTGTCTCAAAAAGAAGAACGAGAAGGAGGAGGAGAAGGAGGAGAAGGAGGGGGAGGGGAGGGGGAGGGGAGGGGGAGGAGGGGAAGGAACAGGAGGCTGCAATGTCAGCTAGTGGTGCCCAGAGGCAGAGGTGGTAGGCAGTCCCTCAGGATGGAGCCAGCTGAGATGGTAAACTCAGGGCTGTGCCCAGTCCAGCTCGATGTCCCTATGGCTGGAGGTCAGCACAGATCTCTCTACCTAGCCAGGCCTAGTGGCCAGTCTGCATCAGGGCCCTGGGGACAGACGCCAGTCCCAGTCTCACCTCATCTTCTCCTGCCTACTCTTATACCACCACCCTCTCCCCAGGGAGTGCCATCAAGGTAAATAGTGGGACTGCGTAGCTGGGAGAGCAAGCAAGCTTGCACATCATTGCCAAAGCTATTAACACCCACGTGCCAGTGTCTGATGATGTTGACAGCTCAGCCCCAACAAGCTGATGACACCATGCCATGCCATCCCATGCCACGCCACCTCAATCCCCTGTTACACAGCCAAAGGCTCAGAGGCCCATTCCAGAGTGACTGCAGTGAGGATAAAGAGATTTCCCCAGCTGGTAAGTTGCCATGGCTGGGGCTAGAAAGGCTGTCTTTCCTCCCTGGACCCCTTGTCCAGTGGAAGCTTTTCTGGGCAGATGATCTCCTCTGAACACAGGCCAGGGGGATATATGGGGTCAGTGCCTGATGCTTGGGGCTGTTGGAGCCAGGAGCCTCCCATTGTGGTCTGGAGCACATGAGATTCCCAGGGAAAGACTAGGAGCCTTTGGTTATTTCTTTTGGATTTGAAGGACAGATTATAGCTCCCATGGACAGAATGCAAAGGGAATTAAGTGAGGGAAAGATTAGCCCCATAGCAGGTGGTCCTACAGGATCCCCCTGGTGGGCAGAGCATCAAATTTCACAACACTTCTCTCCCCAGAGCCATCTCCTGGCCCTGCCACGTGGGACCAGGACACAGGGGATTTCAGCTCTAAAAGATCCAGGGAAGTTTCTCCCATGTACCAGGACCCAGCAGCCATACTAGCCTGTCTCCATGGGACCCCCCTCCCCAGAATGGAGATGGAGTGGACATGGGTTTTATGCGGTATCTGCTAGCACAGGGTCTGTATTGAGTCTCCATGGCTTGAACTTGGCCACTCCCTGGCTGTGGTACAGAGGAAAGGGTTCTGGCCTCTGCCTTAGTCGCAGAGCAGCCTTAGGCAACTTACTAATCCTCTTGGGGTTGTCTTATCAGTCAGACTGGAGTAGAAATACCACTGCTGCTCATGGCCATGGTGATCCAGTCTTGTATCATGAGTGGGAAAGAACACTGGGCTTGGATCAGGGAACCCAAAACCCAGTACAGGCCCTTGCCTGCCTCTTTCCTTGCCTCAGTGTCCTCCTCTGTACGATGGGAAGAGGACTGGACTAGGTGGCTGTTAAGGTCCAGGTGCTCACTGACCAGTTCTGACCTAGTCCCAGTTGCTTTCCTGCCACTGGGTGGGATTCTCCCCAAGAAGGGGAGAAGGAAGGGGCACACTCGGACATCCACAAGCTCGGATGGATGGGAGAATCCCGTTTGGGTCTCTGGTCCTTCTGAGATGGTACTAAGGGGGACGCTCTTCGGGTGCCTTCTGCTAGGACAAATGGTGCTTCCTCCACAGGGTAGTGGGGGCCCTGTGGCCCAGGCTGTATGATGATTGCAGTGGCTGCTCTACTCAGACTCAGAGTCCAGGAGAGAAGGGCCTATTGTCCAGACTCTCCTAAAAAGTGGGTGCATGAGCTGAGGGCTGCTCCTTGCTGGCTCAGAATCAAGAGCCTTCCCGGCTTCATCCTGCGGGTGTTCAGGACATTTCACAGGTGCAGCTCACAGTCACGCTGGGGACACATTAATGGATGCAGGGAGAAGACTTGGATCAGAGCCTCCTTTTAAACTTACTAGTTGGGTGATCTTAGTTGAGACTCTTAACGCCCTGAGGAATGTAGCTGGTATTAAATGAGACAACATTTATAAATTCGAATAACAAGATGCCTGGCACCTACTAGGTGCTCAACAAATGGTATTTAAATTTGGACCTGGATTGTAGGAGCTCCCGTGGGTTACAGATGGCCAAAGATGTTGACCCTCCGGGCCCTTCAGGACTGCCAGGAGGGGCTTGGGGCTGTTTAGGACCTCTAGCTGATCATCTCAGGCCAAAGACTGCCTTCTCTGGTTTCCTTCTGTGCTCTTCAAAGATCACCATCTTCCGTGAGTTGGGAGGAGTACAGGTTGGGAAGCAAAGCACTAATAAAGTTCCCAGTCATTGCTAAAAGGGCTCTGGGGGTCTAGGAGGCCCTGAGTCTGAAATGGTAAGAGGGAGAGGAGAAAGAAAGGGACCAAAAGGCAGAGTAACCGTGTGGCTTGGAGGATGCCTGGGCTTCCCATCACATTGCCACTGCCACGGTGGGGAAGGGATGAGATGAGCTTACACCGCATTCAAAAGAATGGAATCCATGCTGCCAGTCTCACAGCTGAGGAAACAGAGGCATAAGGAAGAGGAAATGACTGCGGGTGATCATAGGCATCACCGTGGATCTGGGACTCCAGCCCACACATCCTGGTGCTCAGTGACGGGCCTTCCTCAGGCACCAGAAACCAGCCCTTTCCCGCCTACTCCCTGACCTCTCAGAGAGAAGTCCTAGCACTTTACCCAGTGTCTTTTCCATGGGTTTCCCATCTGGAGAGGCTGCCAGGTCAGCCTGATTTTGTCAGCGCTGAGTAGCCTGTCCTGGCATCCTGCTATGTCCAGTGAACCTTTGCCTTGTCCGAGACAGCAGACATGGAGCCCTCTTGTCCCTCACTGCTGGGCACTAGGCAGGTCCCTGAGAGCTCTGGCTCTACTGGAACAGTGGTTCTAGCCCTAACTGCACATCAGAATCTATTGATGAACTTTAAAAAGGATCAATGCCCATGTCCCACCCTGGACCAACTAAATCAGAATCTCTGAGAGTGAAGCCTGGGCACGAGTATTCTTTTAAAAAGTTCCCCAGGTGGTTCCAGTGTGCAGCCAGGATTGAGAACCACTATGTGGAAGAATAATGCTGTGGCCTTGGGGAAGAGCTTGACCCATGAATCCCCATGTTACTTCTCCATTGTCTGTTCCCATCATGCTTCATGGTATTGGGCAATGTACCTCTCTTTTTCCTCAGCTTTCTATCCTAAAATATGCTTTTATTCCTTTTTACATCCTACTCTGCTGATCTGATCTTTTTATAGTGGTCTTGATCTCTTTCCTTTTATTCTGAGTTTCATTTATTTATTTATTCATCCAACATCCAACAAATGTCTGCTATGGCAGGCAGTATGCTAGGTGCTGGGAACATAGCAAAGAACAAGACAGGCCAGGTCCCTTCCCTCATGGAGGGTGCATTCTGCTGGGATTTGCCCTGTCAGTGTTTCTGTTTTTATTAATAAGGCTGTGATATTTGAAAACTGTATTTTTTTCTAGAAATATATTACTAGTACCTTCTTCATTTTATCTCTTCTTTTTTCATCCCTTAATTAAGCTCTTCTTGTCTTTAGTATCTCGATTATAAGCAAAGCCTCTGCCCAAGGAAAGCTAAGTCAGCCCAGTTACTTGCATTAGACAGTGTTTTGCATGCATGTACCCAGGTCTTATTGGAAATACACAGGAGCCCTGGCATCTAGGTAATATGCCAGGTTTGGAGAGTCGTAATCCAAGGTTCCTTTTACTTCTGTGAGTGGTAGGGGTGATGGAGAACACAGGCCAGTTAAACCAATTGTTTCTTTGCTCCTGGAGAATACTCAGCCAGTGAACAAAGATTTGTGGGGGGCCTGGTATGTGTAGAACACTGGGCTAGGTGCTCCTGGGGGAAGAGTTTTGAGGGTGCTAAGATAGTAGGAAGAGAAAGGCCCAGCCCCTCTCTTGCTGGGAACATAGGACCATCTCCATGCAGAAGGCATGAACAATGCAAAGCCATCAGGGTGAGGTTCAGTAGGAACTTCAGAAAAGCTGAAACTTGAGGCAGGAAATCCCCAGGGAATTACTGCCATAATGCAGATTACCCTGAGATATATGGTACTCTGCTTCCACCCCTCCCACAGTTCTGGTGTGTACCCTCCCTCTTCCAGTGGTTTGTCTTCCTAAAACAGGCATCAAGGGGTCCTTGTCCAAGATGGCAGGCTGCTGGTGCACACTTCCCATCACATTGGCAGAGCTCAGTCAGGTGCCAGGGACTAAATTTTCCTCGTTGAAAGAAGAGGACAAGTTGATTTACTCTCTGTTTACAGTCATTAAAAAGCTTGACCTGAAGCTGGGTGTGGTGGCATGCACCTATAATTCCAGCTGCTCAGGAAGCTGAGGCAGGAGGATTGCTTGAGGCCAGAAGTTTAAGGCTATAGTGTGCAATGATAATGCATGTGAATAACTACTGCAGTCCAGTCTGGGCAACAGAACAAGACCCTGTCTCTTAAAAAAAAAAAAAAGCTTGCTTCTTCCTAAGACTCAGGGCCCTTTGTAGACATTGCTTCTAGCTCCTAACACAAGGGAATTGGGTCTAGCTACATCTTTAACCAGAAGGAAAAGCAAACCTGTTTTATTTTTCTCAAAATCTAGGGATTTCTTTGTGGATCTATTACTCTCTAAAGTTGTGGTGGTTTTCAGTTTTTTTTTTTTCAGGGATGGTAGCACATGCCTTGCTCAGAGGTTTCTTGGCCACTGAAAGAAAAACATTAAGAAAAACATATTGCATCACTATAGGTAGCTGAAACAAAAGTTTTCCCGATACATTACTTACCCTTATTACATTGCTATGTCCTCAGATATTTTACATTCGATTTCATTTTTTAAAATGGGCTGATCATTAACCAAATCAGATTGATGGGATAATAATGGGTTGTAAACCCCCAGTTTGGAAAAATTCTCTTGGAAGGCCCACACTGCTTTAATCCACGTGGGCTCTGTGCCAGGAGCTTAGTCTAGCACCTCCTTGTGGATTCTTAGACAACAGCGAATGCTCACCTGTGTTTTTTTGTTTTGTTTTGTTTTGTTTTTTTGAAACGGAGTCTTGCTCTGTCGCCCAGGCTGGAGTACAGTGGCGCAATCTCGGCTCACTGCAAGCTCCATCTCCCAGGTTCACGCCATTCTCCTGCCTCAGCCTCCCAAGTAGCTCGGCCTACAGGCGCCCGCCACCACACCTGGCTAATTTTTAGTAGAGATGGGGTTTCACCATGTTAGCCAGGATGGTCTCAATCTCCTGACCTTGTGATCCAGCCGCGTTGGCCTCCCAAAGTGCTGTGATTACAGGCGTGAGCCACCGTGCCCAGCCTGAATGCTTAGCCTTCTCAGTGGCCAAGAAACCTCTGAGCAAGGCATGTGCTACCATCCCTGAAAGATGCTAATTCAGGGGCCTGTGCCTTTCCCAAAAGGAGCACCTGGGTGATTATTGCTAAAATCTGAAATGGAGAATATTTCTCATCCCCTTTTATAGGACATGTCCTCTTAGGACATTTTCTAGCAAAAGTCAGAGAACAAAAGTTTATGGACAAGTGATGGAGCCTTTGACTTCAGACGACTTTCCCCTTGTTTTCATAGCTGCTACTAGACCACATAAATAGTAGGTGCCAGTTAAGCTGCGATGCTGTAAGGGTGCCAAGAGGCTGGGCGACGTGGCTCATGCCTGTAAACGCGGCACTTTGGGAGGCCAAGGTGGGAGGATTGATTGAGCCCAAGAGTTCAAGACCAGCCTGGGCAGTATAGTGAGACCTCATCTCTGTTTTTCAAAAAAATTTTTAAAAAGAGTGTCTAAGAAATGTTGCTTCCCCTACAGCCTCACAGTTGGTGAGGATTCCTTGATGCATGGATGGAACTCAGAGATTTATTCTACCTAAAAGGACATCCAGTCTATCCCATACCAAAATGCCTTCCCAACATTCAAATGTTTTTAAGGCATTTCTCAATTTTTCTAAATGTGAAAGGAGTTAGAGGAAGGATGGTAACCCAGTTGGGCTGTGGTAGTCCTGGAGAGAAGCAGTTAAGAGATGGAGCGAGTACCTGGAGCGTGGAACCAACTTACTTCTGCGCATGCCCCATGTCCTTTCCACCCCACCTCCAGCTGGCCTGCACATGAGTGGGGACCTTGGCCTATTCAGCCCAGGCAAGTTCAGTGATGCTCCTCAAAGCTGCTGGTGGCATGGAGCTGGGTAAACTCCTGACATCCTTAGTGGGACAGCAGCTCTGGCTTCTCATTGAACTTGGGGGCAGTTTGGTGAAGTTGACAAGTGTCTACATATCCAGGGGCATCTGTGCTCACTTGTCCCCCACAGACCTTGGCCTTGGGTGTATTTTCTTCTTCCTTTTCTGTGTGTCTGTGTGTGCTGCCCTCTTCTAGGCTCTGGAACTAGCTGATGGCCAGCTGGACTAAGTGTGTCAGTGTCCACACACCTCTGGCATGTCCCAATACCCCCCTACAGTCCTGAGGCTTAGGCTAAGCCTTTGGCATTGGCTAAATCAGTGGTGACCCACAAGTCACATATTTTCTGAGCAGTTGAGAAAGGGAGACAACATCCTAAAACCAGAGATTCAGGAACAAAGGGCCACTCACTTCGTCTTCACTTTCTACTCAAGACAATAGAGGTTATAACAGTAATTAAAAACAATTTTTTTTTAATTGAGATGGAATCTTGCTCTTGTCCAGGCTGGAGTGCAGTGGTGCAATCATAGCTCACTGCAACCTTGAACTCTTGGGCTCAAGCAATCCTCTTGCCTCAGCCTCCCAAGTACCTGGGACTACAGGTGCATGCCACCATGCCTGGCTAATTTATTTTTATTTTTTGTAGAGATGGAGTTGCCCAGGCTGGTTTTCAAACTCCTGGGTTCAAATAATCCTCCTTCTTTAGCCTTCCAAAGTGCTGGGATCACAGGTGTGAGCCACTGTGTCTGGCTGTGATTTTTAAATATGAGAAAAGTGGGTCAGCCAGGAGATCAGAATCTGAGGTTGGGTCATGGGAACCAGCCCTAGAGTCTTAGCTAGACCTCAGAAGTCAGGATCCCAGCCTCACACCCACAAGCATGGCCAGAAAGCAAGGATAATTTAAATATATTTGTTCCTATCAACCAAGGCAATTGTTTCTTGATATTTGTGTAAAAAATTTAAATTCTACTCTCAAGGGTATTTGTCACTCAGGCTTTAAATGCCAGCTTTGTCTGCCCAGTTTAGACCCAGCCTGCATTCCTGACTTAGTTTACCCAAAGGAAACGGCTGATTTTGTCAAACTTGGTTCCCCCTCTCTGGCTTGTATCTCTGAATTCAACATGCAGACAACAAATCTATGGTGTGCACATCCACCCAACACAACTGGCCACCCATGGGTTTGGAGATGGGGGGAACAGAACAAACCTCTCTGTGTCATGCAAACCAGGGAACCTAGCAGAGCTTCTGAGACACGGTGGGAACACGTTTCACATTTGGAGGTAGGTTTATGGTTTACATTTGTTACAAGGTACTTTTGATCTCCTGGCTTACAACTGAGAAAGCTGAGGCCACGTTAAGGGATACACCCAAGTTCCCACAGCTGTGGTTGATTTGGAATTCCGACCAGCACCTGGGATTCCCAGGCCCACGTTCTTCCCAGCAGACCCGAACACCGGCAATTTCTGGGCACCCACCATCATGGAAGGCTGTATGGAGGCAGCTATGCGGCCCTGGTCTGTCAGTGTCTATGACTAGAACATGCTACCCATCATTGACTCATCTGCCTTAAGAACTCTTCCGCCTAAGTGTTAATATTTATCATTTACAGCCCGCCACTACCCCCTTTCAAAGGTGAACACAGTAAAATTTATGACAGGTGCTCTATCAGAACACAGAGGAACATAAAAGCAGGAGGAGGTGTGATAGCCCATCCATCTGCTGGAGCAGCTCTTCCAGAGGCCCGAGTCACCTGGAGCATTCTGGCATGGGGCTGCGGCCAGGCATTTTCCTCCTGGAGCTGCTGCTGCTTCTGGGGCAAGGTAAGCGTGCCTTTTGCTCAGAGGACAACCAGTGGTTTAGCCCCGCTGGTGTCCCATGTTGCTTAGGCAATGGGTGTGTGAGAGGAGTGTGTGCTTTTGAAGAGATAAAGCACAAAGCGTACAGTTCAAGAATAAGAAGTCTGGTTTGCCTCCTGCGGAATGGGATGCAGAGGCTGCCTACACAGGGTTACATGTCCCAAAGGCTGCCGGGAGCGAGGCAGATCTTGGGACAGGAGAGAAGTGCAGTCCGGTAGCAGTACCATGGTACAAAAAAAACCCCTGGATTCTATTTGTTTGTGCTTTGTGGCTTTGGGCAAGTTCTTCCACCTCCCTGGACCTTGATTTTTTTCATCCTTAAAATGGAAATACTACTACTATGCACATTTTGATCATTACTATTACCATTTATGAGCTTTGTTTTGTTTTTGAAGGACAAAGGAAGACAGATTTCCAGATGATAAATTCTAAAAGATTGCCTACATTCTTTAGTGCTGCTAAACAGAGTGCTGAGCTTTCATTGAACTGAGTGGGCAACCAGCCAGGGCTTTCCATTCCCCCCAACATTAATGACTGTGGGTAGATTGTGCCTCTGCCACAATCCCTCTCTGCCCCTCTTCTTCCCATCATTGGCTCTCCCTTTGCTTAGGAAGGCAGAATCTTTTAAACTGAAAAGGGCCTTAAAGATCTTTCATCTTCTCCAGATGAGAGGACGGGGTCTGGAGTGAGAAGGCACTTGCCCTTGACTCCCCAGAGAGAGTGGAGGAGGCATGGGACAGAGTCCTGGGCCTGCCTAGGGTCTGAGCCCATGCTTGAGGCTTCTCTGGGGCAAGTCAGTTACCGCTCTGAGCCGTGGGGGAGAATGACGATGCTTGCTATGCCTTCTGCACAGGATGATTGTATTTCTTTGATTACTGATGAGGCCAAGGAGTGTTTTCATAGAGATTGTTTGAGTTTCTCTTTTGTGAAGTGCCTGTTGAAGTCTTTTTCCTATTGATTTTTTAGGAGTTCTCCATATATGCTGTGTACTAGCTCTTTGGAGGTTACATATATGACAAATATCTTGTTCCACTCTGAAGCTTGTCCTCCTATGGGGACTTTTGATGAGCAAAATTCTTAATTTTGTGTAAATAAATGTAGACTACCCAAATGAGGACAAACAGAGGCTACTTATTCAGAGCTCGCTGTAGCGAGACATCACTTATGTTTGGCCAAGATTCAAAGGCAGGCAGGGGAGTGGGAAAGTTTCACAGTGGAAAAAAGGGAAATCTTCAGATCTGCTCTGGTTGGAGGTTGTTGGTATCAGGGACCAGCTGACTAGAGGCACGGCATCTGAAGTTATCCAGTTGGGAGTGTATCTGGCTTTCTCTGAGGGGTCCTGAGTTGGAAGCAGAGCAAAAAATAGAGAAGATGGCAGTCATTAACCAAACCTGACCATTCTGGGCTGATTGCTGCAGAGGCTGCAGTTTGGTTCTCTGGCCTGGCCGATTGCAGACTGTGGCTCAGAGTTCTGTTATCATATGTGGTCCCACCGTTGTCCATTTGTATATTCTCTATTTTTTTTTTTTTTGAGACAGAGTCTGGCTGTGTCACCCAGGCTGGAGTGCAGTGGCTTGGTCTCAGCTTACCGCAACCTCTGCCCTCCAGGTTCAAGCAATTCCCCTGCCTCAGCCTCCTGAGTAGCTGGGATTACAGGTGCCTGCCGCCGTGCCTGGCTAATTTTTGTATTTTTAGTAGAGACAGGGTTTCACCATGTTGGCCAGGCTGGTCTCAAACTCCTAATCTTAAGTGATCTGCCTGCCTCGGCCTCCCAGAGAGCTGGGATTACAGGTGTGAGCCACCGTGCCCGGCCTTTATTCTTAAGTATATGTATTTTAAATCTTCCTTTATGGTTTGTGCTCTTTGTATCTTAAATAACTCCTCTCCTACCTCGAGGTCATGAAGATATCTTATATTTCCTTCTAAAAGCTTTATAAATTTACTTTTCTCGTTTAAGTCAATCACCCTACATCTGGGATTGACTTTTATGAATAGTATATGAGAGGAACCCAATGTTGTTATTATTATTTCTTTTTGAGATAGAGTCTCACTCTGTCACCTAGGCTGGAGGGCAGTGGTGCAATTATGGCTTATTGTAGCTTCAACCTCCCAGGCTCAAGTAATCCTCCCACCTCAGCCTCCCAAGTAGCTGGGACCACACACCCACTCAGGTTATATAATCAAAATATTGTGTTCAGGCACATGCCACCATGCCTGGCTAATTTTAGTATTTTTTGTAGAGAAGGAGTTTCACCATGTTGCCCAGGCTAGTCTCGAACTCCTGGGCTCAAGCAATCCTCCTGTCTTGGCCTTCTAAAGCACTGGGATTACAGGTATGAGCCACCACATCCAGCCCCTCATTTTTTTAAATGCAGATACCCAGTTGTCTCACTACCATTTATTGAAAAATCGGTTGTTTCCCTACCACTGTGAAGAGCTACCTCTGTTTGTACATTAAGGATTCATGCATGTTTCTATCTGTGTCAGTTCTCTTTTTTGCTCTATTAGTCCTTATCTATCTCAGGGCCAATAACCCATTATCTTAATTCTGTAGCTTTATATTAACTTCTGTTTTTGAGAAAAGAAGTCTTCCTATTTTTGATTCTTCTTCAGAAGTGCCTTGGCTTTGAATTTCCATGTAAATTGTACTATCAGCTTGGCAATTTCCACTGGAGAAAACCTGTTGGGATTTTGATAGAGATTGCTTTGAATTCTATGAATCAAGTTGGGGAAAATAGACATCTTTACAATATTGAGTCTTTCAAGTCCTGACCATGTATTTAGATCTTTAATGCCTCTCAAAGTTTTCTCTGTTGCAGGCATGGACATATTTTGTTAAATTTATTCCTAGGTTTAGATATTTTTGTTGTGTGGCAAGTGGGTTTTAAAATTTTTATTTTGAAATGTTTGTTATTGATATATAGAAATAAAGTGAATTTTGTGTTGATTTTGAACTCAACTAAACTTAAAAATTTTAATAATTTATATATTCTTTTGGGTTTTCTATTAGGTTGGTGCAAAAGTGATTGCTGTTTTTGCCATTACTTTTAATGCTGTTTAATGCTCCCACCAGAAGAGCTAATGCACATAGCGTTGTTCCAACTGACCTTTTAAAAAATAAAATAGAGAATCCAGGCTCAAGTCTGGATTAGTTCTCTATTGCTTTGTAACAAAGCAATGGCAAAATAGCACTCACTTTTGCACCAACCTAACACACATAATCCTGCCAATAATGACGGTGTTGTTACTTCCTCTTCAATCTGTGTGCCTTTATTTCTTTTTCTTATCTTACTGTGCCGGCTGGTGCCTGCACAACAGTTTTTTTTTTTTTTTTAAAGAGGTGATGATACCAAAGATGGTATTCTTATATTATTCCCAAGTTCAAAAGGAAAATGTTAAGCTGGACGTGGTGGCTCACACCTGTAATCCTAGCACTTTGGGAGGCCGAGGTGGGTGCATCACCTGAGGTCAGGAGTTTGAGACCAGCCTCACCAACATGGTGAAACCCTATCTCTACAAAAATACAAAAATTAGCCAGACGTGATGGCGGTTGCCTGTAATCCCAGCTGTTCGGGAGGTTGAGGCAGGAGAATTGCTTGAACCTGGGAGGTGGAGGTTGTAGTAAGCCGAGATTGCACCACCGTACTCCAGCCTGAGTGACAGAGCCAGACTCTGTCTCAAAAAAAAAGGAAAATGTTTAATTTCTCATCAGTAATTGTGCTGTTTGCTAATGGCTTTTTTTGTAGATAAGCTCTATGAGATTAAGAAACCTTTATTCCAAATTTGCTAAGAGATTTTTTAAAATGAGAAGTGGATGTTGAAATTCATCTAATGCTTTTTCCGTATTTATTGAGATGATTGTGTGACTTACTCCTTTTATCTGCTAATGTTGTGAATTAAATAAATTGACTTTTTATTATTTTGTTCATTTCTTCAGTCATTGCTTATTAGATTTATCAGAGACCACACGTTGCATTTATTTGCCTTGTCTCTTTAATCTCTTTTCATCAAGAATAGTTCTCTCGGCTTTTTGTTTGTTTCTTTTGTGTCAGTGAACATCTTCAGCTGGTTTTTGTGTATGAACAACAAACAGTGATGTTCATGAATCCCCTAGTTGGTGATGCCAAATTTGATAACTTGGTGAAGGTGTGGCTGCCTGACTTTTTTCCCTTGTGAAGGTACCTGCCCCATGTGGTTTATAAATTATCCATAGGGAGATACTGTGAGACTGTGTGATTACCCTTTTTCCCAGTGATTTTTAGCATCCATTGATACTTCTTGCCTAAATTTTTACCATGGTGATTGGAAGATGGTGATTTTTCTGTCATTCCTTCTTCCTTCTGCTATTGTCAGTTGGGTTTCCTCCATAAAAAAGAGATTCCCTTTTTTCCCCCACTTAAATAAATATTTAACTGAACTCCCCCCTCCTTTTTGTCTTATCTTTTTCATATGAAATTCATCTATGGGGGGCTAAGCAGGGAGGATAGCTTGAACCCAGGAGTTGGAGACCAGCTCGGGCAATATAGTGAGACCCCGTCTCCAAAAAAAAAGAAAAGAAAAGAAAAGAAATTCACTTATGGACTCTTATTAATCTGTGTGTTGTAATCCAGGCCTGTTATTTTTCATTTTGATGCCAAAGTTATTACAGATTTGGCCAGTGAGAGCCTCTTCAAGGTAACTTCTGTGGCCCTATCAATTTTTAAGCACTTTTAAACTTCATGGTACAAGATTTTCCCTGCTAACCTTGTATTTCCTCTATCCCAAACCTGGAATCAGCTGTTTCTTCAAGGCTTCCATTGGTAGGGGAGTGTTATTTAGAAACCAAGGTCCAGGTGCTAGGAATGTTTGTTGATGCTGAAGTGTTATTGTCTAGGCCCTTTCAGTGACAAAACTAAGAAATGTAGTTTTCTTTTTTAAAAACATCCAATAAATTTATAAAGTTATCTTTAATTTAGGTAGAATTACACTTTTTCATCTCCTTCTTTCATTCCATATTTGTATTGTCCTTCACCCACAGTGCAAATCTGGGTTACAGACACATCAATGAATTTACTCACTTACTGAATCCTACAATACATACAACACAGTACTGGAATTGCTATGACAACACCACCAACAACAAATGAAGTTCAAAATTCCTTTGCCATACTTCCGTCCTTTAGAATATATCCCACTCAGGGTGTATAATCAAAATATTGTGTTCAGAATCACTTGAATTTTTTTTTGTTCTTTCTGTGTAATTATATAACCTAGTGGCATACAGTTAAGTGTGTCTGTATTTAATTTTGTGTTTCTTCTGTTCTTGCTTTTTACTAAGTCTTTTCAATATATAAAACATTAACATTGTTCAAAAGTCGAAGCTATATGAAAAGATGTACTCAGAGAGGTCCCATCCCCTTCCCCTACCCTTTCTATCCCATTTCTGTCATTCCTGTAGGTAACCAATTTTATTAGTTTAATATCCTTTTTCTTTTTGAGAAAATATATTCTTATTTTCCTTTATTCTTGCACAAGATAACCTACTATACATGTTTTTTGCATTTTGATTTTTTTACTTAATTATATGTCCTGAAAATTATACTACATCAGTTCAGAGATCTTTATTTTTTTCCAACTGCAGAATATTCCAGTATGTACCATATATACCACCAGCCTCCCAACATGGCCATTAGGTTGTTTCCAATATTTTGCTATTACAAATACTACTGTCATGAACAGTCACATGCATGTATCTTTTTCAAGTTCAGCTTATGCTAGGCTATACATCTAACTTAGGATAAATTCCTGGAACTGGGATTTCTGGGTCAGAGGGTGAACACACATATAGATTTGTTAGGTATTACCAAATTTCCTTCCATAAGGATTGTACCAATTTGCATTCCTACCAGCAATATATATGAAATTGCTTATTTTTTCATAGCTTGACAATAAAGCTATATTGACAACAAAGCATGCAGTCAAGACTTAGAATTTTTGCAAATGTCATAGGTAAGAAACATTTTAGTTTATCTTATTACAATGTAATTTGATTATGTTTTCATATTTTTAAGGACCATGTGGTCTCAAGGTTACAAAAAGCAATGGGAAATGAATATTTTCCTATTCAGTTAGATGATAGCCTTTGGGAATCATACATACATACATAACATATGTATATGTGTGTGTTCATATTAAGGAAATAACCATAAATTTCTACATCCTTGAGTTTTAATTCATCAGAAATTCATATTAAATTTTGTTAAAGGCCTTTTCAGCATGTATAGAAATAATCATATGATTATTTACCCTTAGATCTATTATGTTGAGTTATATTAATAGACTTGCTAATACTGAATGATCCATTGGGATTGTATACCCATTGCTGGCGTAAAATCAAGTTGATCATGGTGTATCTCTTTCCTTATATTGCTAGGCTTAGTTTGCTAACAATTGTTTCAGGTTATTTTTCTTATATGCCCATGAATGAGAGTGAGTTATAAGTTTCTTTTTTCTCTCTGCCCTTGCTGGATTTGGGTACCAATGTTTTACAGTCTCATAAAATGAATTTGGGAGTGTTCCTATTTTTCTGTTTTCTGGAATAGTTTGTAATAATAATGGATTTTTTTTCCTTTTAATGTTTGGTAGAACTTGCCAATGAAGCCATCTGGGCCTGGAATATTATTTTTTGGTAGATTTCTGACTACTGGTTCAATTTCTTTAGCACTTATAGAATTAGTCATATTTTATTTTTCTTAAATCCACTTTGGAAAGTTTTTTTTTCTAGGAATGTGTCCATTTCGAGTAAATTTGCAAGTGGTTTGGCATAAAATTTGTGTATGGTTTTCTGTTATCCCTTCAATACCTGTAGCTTCTGTAGTCATGTCCTTTTTGTTTCTGGTACTGATTATTTATGATTTATCTTACCAGAGGTTTGTCTACTTTATTATTTTTTTCAAACCAATTTTTTATTTTTATTTTTTATTTTTTGAGAAAGGTCTAACTCTGCTGTCCAGGTTGGAGTGCAGTGGCCTGATCACAGCTCACTGCTGCCTCGACCTCTGGGCCTCAAGAGTTGCTCTCTCTCCAGGCTCCCAAGTAGCTGGGACCACAGGTGCATACTACCACACCTGTTAATTAAAAAAAAAAAATTTGTAGGGAGGGAGTCTCACTATCTTTCCCAGGCTGGTCTTGAACTCCTAGGCTCAAGCTATCATCCAACAGCCTCTCAAAGTGTTGGGATTACAGGCATGAGCCACCATATCTGGCTTTTATTGATCTTCTATGTCACCGTTCTCTATTGAGGCATAGCAAACTACCCCCAAATCTCAGTGACTTACAGTAGCAACCACTTCATTTACTCACAGTTCTGTGAACCTGCAGCTTGGGAAGACTTCAGCAGAAACATCTCATCCCTGTTCCACATAGTATCATCTGGGATTGACTTGGTGGGTCCCAAATGAGATGTCTGGGGACTTGGTACTGGGACCTGGGTGTCTTCGTGTTCCCCTCCTTGGCCTTTGTTTCTGTATGCGCAGTCTGGACTTCTTTACATGGGGACCCAAGGTCCCAAAAGAGCACAAATAGAAGCCACAAAGCCTTCTAATGTCCGGTCCCCAAAGTCATTTCTGCTGCTTCTATGAGTCAATGCAAGTTTCTGTAGTAGCCTGGATTCAAGGTGAAGGAAATAGACGTTGCCTCTTGATGGGAAGAATGGCAAAAGTCACACTGCAAAAGGGCATACAGGATGAGACGAAATGCTGTGGCCATCTTTGGAAAAATATACCATCGTCTATATTGTATGTTTGTTTTCCAGTTCATTCATTTATGTAAATTTATCTTGCTTGGCCTTTTTAGCACATCCTGAATCTGTGGCTTGATTACTTCCATCAGTTTTGAAAAATTCTCAACCAGTATCTCTTGAAATGTTGCCTCTACTTGATTATTTCTGCCTTTTCCTTCTGGAATGCCAGCACAACGTTTGGCCTGCTCACTCCATGTACCATGTCTCTTCACCTCTCTACCAACTTTACCATCTTCTTGTCTTTCTACACTGCATTCTAAGTAATTTATTATGATACATCTTCTAGCTTATTCAGTCTCCTTCAGTTGCGTCTAATTTTCTGTTAAACCTGATCGTTGAAGATTTTGAAAATTGGTGATTTTATTTTTCAAATTTAACTTACATTTGGTTTCTTACCAAATTGGTAATTAAATAACTTTGGATTCCCATAAAAACTTCAAGTTTGTCTTATTTTAAAAAACATAGTCATTGTAAGGGCCAGGCGCAGTGGCTCACGTCTGTTATCCCAGCACTTTGGGAGGCTGAGGCAGGCAGATCACTTGAGGTCAGGAGTTCGAGACCAGCCTGGCCAACATGGTGAAACCCCATCTCTACTGAAAATACAAAAATTAGCTGGGTATGGTGGTGTGTGCCTGTAGTCCCGATACTCAGGAGGTTGAGGCAGGAGAATTACTTGAACCTGGGAGGTGGAGGTTGCAGTGAGCCGAGATTGGGCCACTACATTCCAGCCTGGGCAACAGAGCGAGACTCAGTCTCAAAAAAACAAAACAACAACAACAACAACAAAAATTCATTTTGAAATTTTACAATTTTGATGATTTTAGTATCCAAAGTCTTTGTGATCTGTTTCTTTTGTTCTCCTGCTGATTCTTGCTTATATGTACCTAATTTCTTTATGTACTATACCTGGTTATCTTTTATTGCATGGTGCTCAGACTCCTTGAAAATGTACTTATGAGATTCTTTGAGGCCTAGGATGAAGGTGAATGTCTTCAGAGAAGATATAAGTGTTCATTCTATTGGGCACTGGGGATGTTATCACATTTGAGGATCACTTCAAACTAAATTCATGGTGTGAGGCTCCCTAGAAAAACCAGGCTCTATGATAAGCACAGTTCATGTATAACAGCCTTCCTTTAAGATGGTCTGTGCTATTTTTCCCATTTTACAGATGAGAAAACTGAGAAGCTAGGTAACTTATCCAAAATCATCCAGCTAATTAGTACAGGAAGCTGAGGTCAGTCCTGAGCTTGGATCCAGGGCCAGCACCTTTCGCTACCTTACAGTATAATAGAGCTCGAGAGAAGAACCAAAATTAGACTTTTATTTAAACTTTTAAATGGACTCAACAAGCAATACATATGAAAACAGATTCCTGCTTTGAATGTTTTGGCTTATAAAACTGAAATATCATTAACTCAACTGCAGTCGGCAAAAGCAAGTTGGCAAGAAATCATTGTATCTAATAAATTACCATTTCTGCTAGAATTTTATTTTCCTCGAATGGGTCAGAAGTTCCCAGAAGATTGTCATGCCTGTGGGAAAAACTTGTTGCCTTGGTAACGTACCCATGACAGGCCTGTCAATGCAAAACCAACGGTGGGAGCTGGGTGAACTCATTGAGTGAGAAAAGGATACCTTTTCATTACTAAAACAAGCTAGGTAACATTTGTTTTGCAAGAGCCCAGGGTTCTTCCTGAAGGTTGGCTTTCCTTCCCTTCCTGCAGGAAGTTTTCCCAAGCCTTCTAGAAATACAGTCTTTCTAAATAAGAGTAGAAAGGGATATTTGAGAACTTTTGGTGGCCTGAGTCCTTCAAATTATTGATGCAAGATCAGGGAGAACCTGCTTGGGTCACACACCTAGTTGGTGGCATAGCCATCCCCGAATCTCTGGTGTTAGACTCTACATCCCAATGCCTCCATCCCCATCCCCAACCCTCACTTCACCTCACACACTTGTCTCCAAATGTCTGCTTTGGACACTGAGCACAGGTATGGGGTTTTCTCTAGAGGCTCAGAAGTTCTACTTTCCTGGGATGTCATCTGTGCCTTGTAGATTTCTAGGACTTTATTGTCAATCATCATTTCCATCAAGTTGCATTTTTGTTACTGTCAGTTAACTGAGCACCCTTCTAAAAACCCAAGTTGGGCTGTGCCTGGCTGGTAGTTACTAAATCAAATGTTAAGGAACCCTCTGGGGAGAGAGAAAGGAGCCGCATAAAATCACTGGAGAAGAATTAAGCACCAAAATAGGTGCAAGCAGCTGTAATAAAAGCAACAGGATTCAGAGAGCTGAGAGATGAATGTGGGCTGGAGGAATCTCATGTGGGAGGTGAAACTCAATTGCTCACTGAAGGGTGAGTGGGACTGAGATAAACACCAAGGAGCAGAGAGGGCAGGCAAGGGGAGGGCATGGCAATGATGGGTTTGAGGAACAGGAGCAGGCTGGCTGAACTGGAGTGTGGGGTTGGTGTAGGGCAAAATGAGGGGTTAAGGTAGGACAATTAAACCCCGGTGCAAGGAGAGAGGAGATTTTTCAGAGTGCCTTTTAGCTTAAAGAGACTTCTAAAATGATTGAATCCAAATCTTTTATTTTACATTTACAAAAACTAAACTGGTGGAGTGACCGGCCTAAGGTCATGCAGCAAGCGTGGAATTTTAATTTGCTGTAGTGGGAAATGGGGAACTGTAGAAAGTTCTTTAGCAGGGGAGTGGCATGACGCAAGTGGTATTTTGGGCAAGATGAGTCCTCCAGCTCCAGACATAAAAGGTCATGAGTCAAAAGAGGCACCACCTTGGTGAACAGAGCCCTGGATCATAGGAAGGGGCCCAGCAGGGATTTGGCTGGGCTCTGGGAAGGGTAAGTGCTTTTCTTCAAGCCTTAGGCCACCATTTCCTTTTGCATTATTGCATCTCTGAGAATGAGGGGTCCTAAGCCTCCCTTCCTTCACACCACAACTTCCCAGTTGTCTCTGGGAGGAAACCTTCCTGACGGTCTCCCTTCCTGAGACTCCCTTCTTGTTGGGGCTTACTGATCAACACACCTGCCACCATCCAGCTTTGAGGAATCCCAGGTCCCGTTTAAAGTTCTGGCCAATGGTGGCTGAGGTGAAGCTAGAGCTGCTGCTGATTGTGGAAGATATTAGTATAGGAGGAGTCAGGGCTCTGGAACCTGCCATCGTCAAGGTCTGCTTGTTCGTCTTCACCATGGGACTGTCTTCTACAGGTTGCTCCTTCCTGGCTCTGGGTTGGCCTCAGCTGTCCCTGTCTTAGTCTGTAGTGTGCTGCTATAATACCACAGACTGGGTCATTTATAATGAACAGAAATTTTTAGTCTCATGGTTCTGGAGGCTGGGAAGTACAAGATTGAGGGGCTGGCATCTGGTGAGGGCCCTCTTGCTGTGCCATCCCATGACAGAAGGCAAAATGGCAAATGAGGGTACGACAGAGACAAAAGGGGCCAAACTCATCCTTTTATAACAAAACCACTCCCACAATAATGACATTAATCCATCTGTGAGGGCAGAACCTAGTCACCTGTTATAGGTCACACCTCCTACCACTGCTACATTGGGGATCAAGTTTCCAACATATGAATTTTGGGGGACACATCCAAACCACAGCAATCCCATGAGGAAGTTGAAGAAAATGTGATGCAAAAGTAAGGCATCCCCTTGTCTGAGGCCAAGGGCAAAACTACAAATAAACTTTGAATATGTAATTTCCTTTTGGGACTGCTTTCCTCCCTTGGGGCACAGGGTGTATGATATTGGATATCTGTGGGCATCAGAGGATGGAGACAGGAGGGTGCACTGGTCTCTGCCTGGAATGAGGTCTGTAATTGGTGGTGTGGTCTCTCTGGGACCATCAGTACAGGACAGAGTATTTAATTATGGTTTGAGACTTTTCAAGCCATCTCGAATGTTTTTTGTAATCAGACTAGAGGTTGTGTCTACCCAAAGGTTGTGACATTGTTGATCCTAAATCATTCTTTGGCCAGCATTCCTGATGGTAAATCTAGAGTGACTAATGGTAATAAGGACAGCTGGAAATACTGATCTACAGACAGGGCAAAACAATAGATTTCTTCTGGAAATTCGGGATAGAAGACAACACATGTAACAAGTCTTTCTATAACCTTCTTTCAAAGAGACTTTGGTCTCAGGGAAAGCGTACTTGACTAGGTTAAGGAGAATCCAGTTCTACACATGGCTCTGTTATACCTTGCTGAATAGCCTTTGGCAGGTTTGCTAGCCTCTCTGGATCTAGTAAACAAGATGATCTTGAAGGCCTGCTCACCTCATCTCCTCTAGAATTCTGAGACATACATTCAGAGGTCAACCCAGCTACCTCAGAAGGGTTCTCTGCTCCCCATTCTCACCTTCCACTGGTGGCAGCACGTGACTGGCCAAGCACCACACTGACAGGACGCTGTGCTAACATCCTATACGCCTTAGAGCACCTGGAATTTTAATGGAGCAGTCAGCCAGGCATGACTCATGGTTTTCTGACTCAGCACCCACAGCTAGTCACATGCAGCACCTGCTCACAGGTCCATGCAGCATCCTACAGTCCCTATAGGTCACATAGGGTGACAGCTTACAGCCACCTTGTGCAGTGCAGCACATAGTCACCCACAGGACCTGCTTATCATTCAAAACCACACAGGAGATGACACTGGCTGACTTGGGCCCTCCCCTTCCAAGCTCACCAGCACAGCTCAGTGCTTAGTGGAGAGCAGTGTGGTCCACACCCTTGCTGGTGTGGTCTGCATGCACTTATGGCCCTCTGAGCCTGTAAAAATGCCAAAAGGGTCATAAACCCTGCCCCTAAGGTCACAGTGAGAGCATTACAACTTTTCAAAGAGCCCAAGAATTTAATGTGCACTGAAGAGTGACCTCAGTGCCACATGAGTTGGCCTTGAAAGTCCTCCCTGATGCCTAGGAGATGCTTCTTCCTTTCATCCAGGGAGACAAGTCACCTCTTCCCTGTGTATGGCCCTCTCTCACTTACACAACCCTTTCCAGTTCTTTGATCCTCATAACGACCTCATGAAGAAGACAGGGAAGCTAGTCCTATTTGCATTTTATAGATGAGGAAGTCAATGTTCAGATAGATTAGATGCTTAATCAAGGTCATGAAATGGCTGTATTCCCTCAAGGAAGGGACAGGGGCTAGAAAATTGCACTCCAGACACATCATAAGTATACGAACATCAAGGAAATCCATAAATTAAGAGAGCATGCCCTGCTTTAATTTTGCTTTTGAAATCACCCCACCCGTATGTGGCCAGCTGTTGGACTAACACACATTGGGTTTCCTTGTAGAGTCAGGCTCTTAACCTTGGAAGCACGTGAACATTACTGGAGGGGCTTTTAAAAACTCTGGTGCCCAGCATACCCATGCCCCACCAGGCCAGTCAAATCTGAGTCTCTGCATTTGGGGGCTAGGTAGCAGGTGATGGGCTGAGAGCCACTGCTTTAGAAGGTAAACCCCTAAGGGAGAAGCACATGTGGTTTTACCTTGTCAAAGCCTGATGTCTCCATGGTGCTTTGTTGGTTCCAGACCCCAGTGGTCACAGCCCTGTCCAACTTGGATGACTGATCTCGGCCAAACCTGTTTCTCAGAGCATACACAAGTGTTTTTTTTCTTGCATTCCCATCAGGATAGAAAAGTGCTTGTTTTTTTCCCCTGACTGCCCTGACTCTGGTGGGAATTTTTCAGAGAGTTCAAAGCCCTTCATATATCCATGGGCTTGATGTCAAAACAACCTTTCAAAAGGGGAGAGTTCCCTTGGGATTCCATGATTGGGGTTTGATGATGCCACAGTGCTTCAATAATTTCTTCCACAGCACCTTGGGGTACTGTGGGAACAGGCACTGTACCTGGTGAAAGCAGAGAAGTAGATTGACGGCCCATGTCGCTCCAAGGGTTAGTGGGGCCAGAAGTGAGAGGCACCAAGTTTCCCTTTGAATCTTCAGGTCTGGACGCTTAACATTTAGATCCCAGGAACGCTTTATTGTGACACCCCAGAGCAGTTATCATGGATGACTCACATCATCAAGGTAAAAACATGAACTCCTGAGCATTTAGTTATGTGAAGAAATCCCAGAATATTGAGGCTGAAAGGATCTAAAAGATGGTCTATGCTGAAATTATAACTAACAATTACTGAGTTCTTTCCATGAGTCAGACACTGTGCTGGATGTTTACATGCATTTAATCCTCACGCAACTCCATGGGGCAGGTATTATCAACCTCACCTTATAGGTGAGGAAAGTAAGGCTTGGAGAAGTTGATCAGACTAAGGATTTCCAAGCTCTTAACCTCTGCTTGCTGTATGTGCCACATGTTCACGATCACCACTCTCTGCTTGGACCAGTGCCCTGGCAGCCCATTCTTGTTTGGGTAGCTCCAGCTATTCTGCCAAGGGGCAGCTTGCTTCCACTGGTCTAGTCCTGGTTTGAGAGCCACATGGAGCAAGGCCAGCCCACTTGGCATCCAACCTATCAGATCCTGAAGGAAGTTCTCATACACCCTCCTCAGCTTCTGTTTAAATAAAATATCTATGTTTCAATTCACCCTACCTTTTTTGTGTTCTTTACTCCTGATTGTTTTTTCTTTTTTCTTTTTCTCTCTCTTTTTTTTTTTTTTTTGAGATGGAGTCTCACTTTACCACCCAGGCTGGAGTGCAATGATGTGATCACGGCTCACTGAAACCTCAAACTCCTGGGCTCAAGTGATCCTCCTGAGTAGCTGGGACTATAGGCATGCACCACCACACTCAGATAATTGTGTGTGTGTGTGTGTGTGTGTGTGTTTTGTAGAGACAGGGTTTCACCATGTTGCTTAGGCTGGTCTTGAATTCCTGGGCTGGAGTAATCCTTCCACCTCGGTCTCTCAAAGCATTGAGATTACAAGCATGAGCCACTGTGCCTGGCCTTCACCTGATATCTTGCCTCCTTTAGGATTAAGTATTTTTATTGTTTAGGTTTCACCACCTCATCCTGCCCAACACTAGCTTGTGGATTATACAATTTTTATCATTATTTTGGTGTTTAAAGTGATAACATGCACCCTTGACTTATTAAAGTCTAATATAAATCAGTACTTTTACCACTTGATAAGGGGAAAATCTTATAACAGTTTAACTCCATTTATTCCATCCAAATCTGCCCACAAAGCAATTTGTTTCATGTCTTTTAAACTCCAAAATATATTATTTTTATTTATATTAGGGTTGGCAAACTTTTTCTGAAAAGGTTGTAAATATTTGAGATTTTATGAGTCACATATATTTTCTATCACATTCTTTGTGTTTTTTTTTCTAATGACACTTTAAAAATTTAAGAATGATTCTTGTCTAGAGGGACATATAAAAATAGGCTGTGGGCAGATTTGACTTATGGGTCATAGTTGGCTGGTCTCCAGTTTGTACAGTAAATATTATTTTAGGTTTACCTACATATTTATTCTTTCTGTACTTCATTCCTTTTTACATCACCAACGTCCCAACTGGGATCATTTTCCTTTTCCACTGCCTTTTGCCTTCCATTGTTGCTGTTGAGAAGTCAGGCTGATCTTAATATTGGTCTCCTGTACTCGAAGAGTTTTACTCCTGCTGCTTTCAAAATTTTTCTTTGGTTTTAGAACTACACCTAGATACATAGACTATTATAGTTGATGTGTCTAAGTAAGATTCTCTGTGCTTATCCTACTTAACGTTCTTTCAGCTTGTTGAATCTGTGGTTTGATATTTTTCATCAAATGTGGGAGGTTTGGGAAGTTTTCAGCCATTTTATCTTTTTTTTTTTTTTGAGATGGAGTTTTGCTCTGTTGCTCAGGCTGGAGTGCAATGGCATGATCTTGGCTCACTGCAATCTCTGCCTCCTGGGTTCAAGTAATTCTCCTGCTTCAGCCTTCCAAGTAGCTGGGATTACAGGCACCTACCACCGTGCCTGGCTAACTTTTTTTTTTTTTTTTTTAGTAGAGATGAGGTTTCACCATGTTGGCCAGGCTGGTCTCAAACTCCTTACCTCAGGTGATCCACCCACCTCAGCCTAGCCATTTTATCTTTAAATCATTTCCTGCCCTCCCCCCACCCATCTCTCTCTCTCTTCTTCTTCTGGGGCTCATATTACATGTATGTTTTTATGTTTGACACTGTCCACAGATCTCTTAGGTTGTTATTCTTCAATCTTTTTTCCTCTGTATTTTTTAGAAATATACTTACTATCTTTAAGTTTACTGATCTTTTATTCTGTTATCTCAAGCCTGCTACTGAGCCCACCTAGTGAATCTTTCATTTCAGTTAGTGTACTTCTCAACTCCAGAATTTCCATTTTATATCACTTCTATTTGTTGTCATTGTCTTCATGGCTGTATTTAATTCTTCAAATACATATAATAGCTGCTTTGAAGACTTTGCCTGTGAAATCCAACATCTGTGTCAACTTAGTTTCCATTGATTGCCTTTTTTCTTCATCTGGGACTGGTGTTTCATGTCAAGCCATGCCTGGTAACTTTTGTTTGAAGACTAGACATGTTTGATCAAACATAGCAATTCTGGATTCTGTTTTTATTTTTCTGAGGGTCGTCAATTTGTTTTTTAATAACTTGCCTGGACTTAAACTGTGAAATCTGTCTCTCTAATTGTGTGCAGCTAACCACTGATGTCTTTGCTCAGTTTTTTTTTCTTTCTTCTTTTTTTTTTTTTGTTGGCCTGGCATCCTAGGAGTCACCCTTGAGTCTGCATGGTTTAGTGGTCAGTCAATGATTTGCACAGAGGTTGTGCTCAAACACCTTGAGACCATAATGTTCTGTTGCTTGCTGTGTATGCAGGTTAGGGAATGAGCACGAAGTTGTAGCCAATTCTTAAGTCTCTCTTGGTTTTAGATTTACATGTGGCTCTTTCAGTCTTTCTGGCACATACATCAATTTCCAGTTACTCAGGGAATATGTGAGGAGCATATCTCAGTACTTCTTATTTCCTAGATTGCCCCATTAAATTTCTGATTGGACCACCTCTTGCTGTAACTGGGTACAAAACATGAGCTGGAAAGATTATGGATTTCCTTCATTTATTTCCATATTAGTCCACTGCTTTTCACTAATCTGTTGTCTGTTGTGTTTTTAAATTTTCTCTTGACTATGGTTTATTTAATGTTGTCTCCTGGTAATTTTTTAATGGAAAGCCAGGCATTGTATATAAAAGATAATTTTCATGCTCTGGCTGGTAGTATTTTCATCCATATAGGTTTTCCTTTTGCTTTTGGCAGGCAGTTAGGGAGGAACAGATCACTTTTATCTAATCAGGAATCAAACTTATTCAAGTCTGGTCTTTAGACTTTTTACAGATCAGCGCATTTCTAGTTTATCCCTACTCCAAAGGTCTGTTTTAAGTCCCACTTGAAAGCCTGGGATATTCATCAGGGTCCCCCCTCCTCAATGGGTGCCAAACTCAGTGTTTTCCCCCAGTTCCATTGAACTGCCTGAAGCTCTGCTCAGTGTCTTAGCCTCTTGGCTGCTGATTTCTGTTGCTCATGATTTGACAAATGCTTCAAGGATAAAACTGGTATCAAATGCTGAGCCCACTCTCTGTACTTATTTTCTCTTTGGGGTCCTGACTTCTCAAATTCTTGCTACTTTTATAATTTTGAACAGACACTTGCACGCAGGCACACACACATACACACCACACAGAGAGTGTGGGAGTGCCTAACAGAATGCGGGAGTGCAGCAGAAAAAATAAAAGACCTAGAAGATTCCATTACAGTTTTAGGAAAAGATGTGGGGCTCCACCTGTTGTCTTCAGAAACATCCTCTTTTGAGCCCTATTAAAACCTTTGAATTCCGGAGTCAGCAGTAAACTCTGGACCCAGCCCCAACCCTCTAAACAACATTTAAAACTCTTGCTGCTATAAAATTATACTAATAATGCCATCTATTTCCCTGGATTGTTTTGATAATCAAATGAGAGCATCTTTCATCATAATTAATGTATTTCAACATATACTTTGTACAGGCACTGGGTTAGATCTTCTGCTTATTTAATTCATTTTTTAAAACTTAATAGTAGAGTGCTGAGTATATTAGCTGTCATAAAATTTGTTTTAGAATGCTACTATTTAAAGAAGGGGTCCAAAAGCTTTTGAGGAGTGATTTTCTTTTAATTAAAAAATTGTTGTTCCAGCATCATTTGTTGAAAAGACTGTCTCTTCTCTGTAATATTGCCTTTGCTCCTTAGTCAAAGATCTGTTGACTCTATTTAAGTGGGTTTATTTCTGGGCTCTGTATTCTGTCTCATTGATCTAGTTGGTTATTCTTTTGCCAGTCACACTGTCTTGATCACAGTAGCTTTATCTTCAATCCTGGAGTCAGATAGTATCAGTCTTCTAACTTTGTTCTTCTTCAATATTGTGTTGGCTCTTCTAGGTCGTTTGCCTCTTAATATAAATTTTAGAATCAGTTTCTTGATATCCACAAAGGTTTCTACGTCTTTTAATGGTTCCAAAAAATAAAAAGAATATTTTGTGATGCATGAAAATTATATGGAATTCAAACTTCAGTCACTATAAATAAATTTAATTTGTTTACATGTTGTCCATGGCTGCTTTCATACTACAGCAGCAGAGTTGAGTAGTTTCAATAGAGACCATATGGTGAGTAAAATCTAAAATATTGACTTTCTGGCCCTATATAGAAAAAGTCTGCTGGCCCTGGTCTAGACCTTGGGCATGTGGCTTACACTTAGCTTCTTGATTACAAGCATGGCTCATGGAGTCAGATGAGCCAGACTGCCTGTTTTCAAAGCCCACCATCACCATTTGCTAGCAATGTCATCTTTTTCTATTTTTATTTTATTTTTTTATTTTTTTAGAGATGGGTTCTCATTATGTTGCCCAGGCTGGTCTCAAATTCCTGAGATCAAGCAGTCATTCCATTTCCACTTCCCAAAGTGCTGGGATTACAGGCATGAGCCACCATGCCTTGCCACCTTTAAAAGGCCATTTAACCTTTTGGGGCCTCAGTTTTCTGTCTGTAAAGTGGGGATGATGATATTTATCTCATAAAGTTGTCATGAGGATTAAATGAATTAGTTCACATAAGTGCTTAGAACAGTGCCTGGCACATAGAAGCTGTATTTGTGTTGGCTACCATTTACATTTTTATCCTGGCTTAGAAAGAAAATTACCAAAATAGTCTCAAATCTCTGCCCTGCTAACTCCTCTATTCCACTCCCCCTGGAGTGATGATCACCTTAAAATCATCTCTTCAGAGACTGGTCACAGCTCCCTGTTGCTCATGGACTAGCCTGGCATTTGTGGCTCCCCAGCCCAGCTACCATCTGTCTGTGCAGCCTCATCCCCCCTGCCCACCACTTCCCTGGCCTCCAGTTACAAACACCTATGCCAGCCTTTTCCAGCACTTTGTGCTTGTCCACACTTCTATGCCTTCCCGTCATGTGGCCCTTTCTGCCCAGAAAGCTTGCTTCTGGGAATTTCAAAGGAATCGCTGCGATCTGGAGGCGGATTCCAGTCATCATTCCTTGTGCAAGCTCTAATGTGGAAATCAGTGCCTGATCTCACAGTGGGCATAAAATGGACATATACTGTTGTTCTTCATGAAACTCTAATAAATTATTTTCAGGGTCAAAAAGTAAAGCTGCAGAAGAAGGCTGTGGTGGAAAAGAAATCAATCCCTGTTGCCCAAGTCAGGCTTCCTTTTGGCATTGCTAATGTTGTTTGGGGGTTCTTGTATCGCATGCGCTTATAAGGAAGATGTACCCTGGGCAGGCATTGGGTGGGGAGAAGTCAGAGGAAGTAAGGTACCCTGACCTCTGATTAAATCTCAGTATCATTAATGTATTGTGTAGCTATTGAAATAAGCATCAAAATTATGTAACAACATTTAAAATGCTCATGATACGTCAAAGGAAGTTTGCAGGATACAAATTTGCATGCACACAGATTATAACTGAATAAAACATGTGCCTGACTATGGTCATGAAAAAATGAACAAACAAAATCACTTTTGATTGTAAGAGGCATAGCATTGTGGGTGTTTTTTTCCGCTTTTTAAATTTAGGGTGCTGTTAATTTAAAAATACTATAATTTGTGTAGATAAAAAACATGGGAAAACTTATCTACGTGTACACTTAAAATGAATTTAATTTATTGTAAGTCAATTACACTTTTAAAAAGTAAAAAATAATAAATGTTTTTAAAGACTGACCAAAAGTAAGCTGGGACAAGGACAGTGGCTTTGCCATCTCCCTACCTGCCTTTTCTTCCCCTTACTCCTCACGTTCAGCAAGACCCCTCGATACAGCCCCTGTCCAGGTACTTAGTACAGTCATGGCTGCTAGGAATCCTGTGATTAGCTCTTCTCCTAAGATCACATTACCCTTCAAACTATTTTATAATGTCCTTTGCCTTCCCTGCTTTGTCTTGGATCTGCAACAACAGTAACTGTTTGTCTGACATTACCTTCTTTGTGGGTTCTGCCCTTTGCCAAGGAGCCCAAAAAGCAATCTGTGATAATGTGCTTGTGCATGATATAATGTTATTGCTGACCCCTCCCAGATAACACTTTTGCTTTTTCACCTGGGGATTCTGCCCTAATGGGTTGTGTTAATGGAAGCACGGTGTCCCACACAATGGAGGGGATAGCTGGACAAATAGAATCTGGGCTTCCCTAACACAGTGGACATTACTGAGCTGGGCACACAGATATGGCTAGGAGGAAGGGCATGAAAGCTACAAATTTGGGTGGGAGTTAATTCCAGCTAAATAACTTGAACTATTTCTGCTTTCTTTCAGGGACCCCTCAGATCCATACCTCTCCTAGAAAGAGTACATTGGAAGGGCAGCTATGGCCAGAGGTAAGGGCTTTGGCTGGTGGGAGGTGCGTGTGTATGGAGGGGAGAGGGAGGATTTTCCTTGTAGTGGGTAAACCCAAGTTTTGGTGCAAGTTGACAGGCCCCTTCCTGAGGCCTTGAGGGAATGGGCTGGATGAACCGCTTCCCCCATGGACAGCCGGGGTGTCCGGCAGAGTGTGTGTCCTGGAATTTGGAGCTCATCATCCCTGCAGACTGAATGGGCGGTTCCCAGAAGTGTCCAGAAGGAGTTATAAATGGGCTTGTTATCTCCATGAACCTTGAAGCAGATGTTGGGAGTTATCTGAAGGAATCTGGGTGAGGTCTTCCCAGAACATCCATAAGATAAGAGCTGAGAGTAAATGCTGTGGTTTCTTACCGTAATCAGTACTTCAAGAGAAACTGTGTTTTCTTGTGAAGTGAGATGTCCTCAATCACCTCATTTACTGCATGTTTTTCCCTATTGGAGTATTCCCCCGCTTCCACTCTCAATTTTTGGGGGAAAAGACACAATCTCACTTCCCAGAGCCTTCCATGGTATTCACAAAAGCAGAAGCTGCCCCGGACCCAGTACCAGCAGCTGAGGAGGTCCAAGTGGTCTTGAGGACCTGAGTACTGGTCACCAATTCCTTCCTCCAGGCTCAGGACACTCTGGTAGGGACATGAGAGTCTCCCAGTTTCAAGTGTACCCAGTTTTTGGCAACAAATAAACATAATGCCTCATATACTTAATTTTGTATAAGTTATCAAATTAAAAGATGGTAAGTAGGTAAATATAGCATGGAATATAAAATAAATATAAAACGGGATTGATTATTTTTTCTTGTTTTAGTCAAGGTATCTTGAGTCTTAATTACTTCTTTTCCTGAGTCTTAATTACTTCTTTTCACTAGTAAAATATATACAAAAGTTATCATTTTAACCATGTTTGAGTGCACAATTCAGTAGCATTAAGTACTTTACATTACTGTGCAACCATCACTGCCATCCCTTTCTAGAACTTTCTCTTTTTTTTTTTTTTTTTTGAGACAGAGTCTTGCTGTGTTTGTTGCCCAGGCTGCAGGGCAGTGGCATGATCTCAGCTCATGGCAGCCTTCGCCTCCCGGTTCAAGTGATTCTCGTGCCTCAGCCTCCCAAGTAACTGGGATTACAGGCACACGCCACCACTAATTTCTGTATTTTTGTATTTCGTATTTTTAGTAGAGACAAAATTTCGCCATGTTAGCCAGGCTGGTCTCAAACTCCTGATCTCAAGTGATCCTCCTACGTCAGCCTGCCAAACTGTTGGGATTATAGGCATGAGCCACCGTGCCCAGCCCCATTTCTAGAACTTTCTCATTCTTCTTCATCTTTCTTCCCTCTCTACTCCACTGTTCTGAGGCATTCTTGCCACCTGTTAAAGTCATTGTCAATAGACTTATGTACGCTTTTACCAGATGAACTGGGTATGGGGTTAGGAGAAAATGACTATGGGCAATTGTTGTTTCTAGATTTTGAGCCTAGATAGAATGAGTACATGATCATTTCTACACCAAGTTTTCAGGACCTGCAATATTTCTATACAAGGCAGTTGATGTTTCTGATGTTCGTTTTCAATTGCAGACCCTGAAGAATTCTCCATTCCCATGCAACCCAAATAAATTAGGAGTGAATATGCCTTCTAAATCAGGTATGTAACCCTTGGCCATGAGCAGGAAAAGCCTGGCGTTTTCTCTCTGAAGTGGCCAGCAGAGGCTCTAACCCTATTCTTCTTGGACCTGTTGCCCCTTCAAGTCCTCCTCTTCCTTATCCTCAGTCCCTCAGTGTGACAGATGATTTCCCAGTCATCTGTCATATTTCCACAGTGGCTTGCTTGGATGAGGGTAATCTCCAGGATCTTGCCTTCCTGTGGGTGGATGGTGTTGTGGGAACTGTGAGTTAGAGCTTGGCCATTCATGGGGCTTCCCTATTCTTGTAATGTAGTACAATGGCAGCTCTGGACCTTTTTCCCCACAATGGGCTGGGTTTGTCTAATGACCTGGATGCTATGAATTCTCTTGAGTGGGCCTTCTTCCCTGACTTTATCATATTGAGAGGCTGCATTACAGACCAGACCATATTTAATAGATTTATGTTTGTACTATTCTGCCTTGACTGGGGTTTCCAGTTAAGCATGCTATTCTTACTGTTATATAAGGACTTTAGGTTGAAAAAGAAATTGATGCACTTTTAAGGAAATGTCTTCTTTAGGTGGCTTACATGTAAATGATCTATAACGTGACCAGGGAGTATGATCAGTGATTTCTAGGGAGACTTCATTGCTAAAGATGCCAATCACTCAAGTGGGTCCAGGAGATTTCCACTTCCTTGTGTGGCATTTGCATACAGCTTGCATCTGGTGTGGATATGTGTTCACAGGCTTTGAATGCTATTCTCTGGCAATCTTCAAGCTAAAGTGATCCTTTTGGTAACCAGGTGGTTTTATTCTTAATGTGTTGTCCTCTCATTCGTGGTGGCCCAGAAATGCAGGACTGTGGGACAGAAGGAAGTGAGAGGCAGAATGGGGTCCAGGTGAGGGGAAAATGAAGGCCATGAGTGACCTTCCATGGGTCACCTGTTTGGACAGCTCAAGTCCAGTTAACAGTGTGGCTCCCAGAGGGGAGCGGGTGTCTTTCTGGCAGGATTCCTAGGGTTCCCAGGCACTGCCTGGTCTTTGGCATTCCACTTCCATGGCCAACAGACTGGACCTCCGCAGCTGTCCAGGGGCTGGGGAATGTGAGTCTCCTCTCCCATACGGTATCCTTGGCCGACATCATGGGGAATGTAGATCTGACCTTCCTATATGGGTTCTTGTCTCCACAGTTCACTCTCTGAAGCCTTCTGATATTAAATTTGTGGCAGCCATTGGCAATCTGGAAATTGTGAGTATTTGAAGTAGCTTGGGGCAGGAGACAGAGTTTGGTACTGATGATCCTCTGAATGGGCTCCTGGTAACTGGGCAGAACGTTTCATTTTGGGAGAGAACATCATGTGAACTAGATAAATCCAGGAGGTTGAATCTTTTTATTTTTATTTTATTTTATTATTTATTTATTTATTTATTTTTGAGACAGTCTCACTCTGTCACCCGGGCTGGAGTGTAATGGCGCAACCTTGGCTGACCACAACCTCCGTTTCCCGGGTTCAAGTGATTCTCCTGCCTCAGCCTCCCGAGTAGCTGGGATTACAGGCATGCGCCACCATGCCTGGCTAGTTTTGTATTTTTAGTAGAGACAGAGTTTCTCCATGTTGGTCAGGCTAGTCTCGAACTCCTGACCTCAGGTAATCTGCCCGCCTTGGCCCCCCAAAGTGCTGGGATTACAGGCGTGAGCCACTGCGCCCAGCCGAATCTTTTTTTTTTTTTTAAATCAAATGAATGCCTCTCTTTACATCAAGGTGAGGAAACTTTTGGGGTTTCCCATTAATAAATTAAATCCATTAATACATTAAATCAAAGATCACACAGAATTTTAAAAGTAATCTTTTAAATTTTTTAAGATAAATTTTCTTACCTGATTTGTAAATTTTTAAAAACACACCGATCTTTGTAAATAACTTTTTAAATTTTGTTTGCAATTGTGGTAAATACATAGAACACAAATTTACCATCTGTAAGTGTATAGTTCACTAGTGTTAAATATATTCACGTTATTGTGCAACTGATCTCCAGAACTTTTTCATTTAGCAAAACTGAAACACTCTACCCATGAAATAACATCTCATTCTCCTCTTCTCACAGCCCCTGGCAACTACCATTCTACTTTCCCTCTCTGTTTTGGCAGTTCTAGGTACCTCATATAAGTGAAATTGGCCAGGTGTGGTGGCTCACACCTGTAATCCCAGCATTTTGGGAGGCTGAGGTGGGCAGATCACTTGAGGTCAGGAGTTTGGGACCAGCCTGTCCAACATGGTGAAACCCCATCTTTACTAAAAATAGAAAAAAATTAGCCGGGCATGGTCGTGGGCACCTGTAATCCCAGCTACTTGGGAGGCTGAGGCAGGAGAATCGCTTGAACCCAGGAGGCAGAAGTTGCAGTGAGCTGAGATCATGCCATTGCACTCCGGCCTGGGAAACAAGAGCAAAACTCTGTCTTAAAAAAACAAAACAAAAAAGAAATCATACACTTAATGTTTCATATAAGTGAAATCATACAGTATTTGTCTTTTTGTGACTGGCTTCACTTAGCATAATGTCCTCAGGGTTCATCCATATGCCAGATTTCCCTTCCTTTCTTAAGGATGAATGCTCTTTCCTTGTATATCTAGATCAGATTTCATTTATTCATTCACCCGTCAGTGGACACTTGGGTTGCCTCCACCTCTTGGCTGTTGCAAACAATGCTGCTATGAACTTGGGTGTACAAATATCTGTTCAAGTCCCTGCTTTCATTTCTTTTGGATATATACACCCAGACGTGGGATTGCTGGACCATATAGTAATTCTATTTTTAAAACTCTTTGAGAAATCACCACACTATTTTCCATAGTGACTGCACTATTTTATATTCCCACCAACAGTGCACAAGGGTTCTAATTTCTCCACATCCTCACCAATGCCTGTTTTCTGGGGTTGGTTGGTTGTGGTTGGTTGGTTTTTAATAGTAGGCATCCTAATGGGTATGAGGTGATGTCTCATGGTGGTTTTGATTTGCATTTCCCTGATGATTAGTATGTTGAACATCTTTTCATGCACTTGTTGTTAATAAATTCTAAGTGGTATATTTTATTTGGTCAAATAAGGGAGAAAGAAAGAAAAAGACAAAAGGAGAAAGGGATGAACAGAGAAAGAGGGATCTGGATAGAAGAAGGTAGGAGAGCAAAGGAGAATGTCAGCATTTCCCCACAGCCCCTCTCCTGGTCTTAGCAAAGCTCCACAGCCTTGCTGCCCCCGATCTCAGCAGCCCCAGCTGGATAGAACACTTCCTTATCAGTCTCCACCCTGCTCAGAGCCCTACTGTACCTCCCACGCCTGAACCAGGATACTCTTTCTCCCCCAGAGCCTCCCTCCCCACTCCGCCTCCCATGATTCCTTCCCAGCATCCTCCCCCATCCCTGCAGCAGCCTGCACTCCCTGCAACCTCAGCCCCTTCCCCTTGTAGCTGCAAGCCCCAGCCCACCACTCCATGCACAGTGCCAGTCCACTCAATGTCCCCAGAGACCTTGGACCTGTCTTCTACCTTCTCCTCATCTCAAATAACCAGTTTCTACCTCTCTGGAACTTGGCTTGGACTCCCTGCCCTAGACAGTGTTAGCCTCACCACATTTATCAATGCCACCTCTGCTTGAGCACTGGATGAAGCTGGCCAGACCTAGAACTTCACCCTGATCACAATTGTAAATGAGGGAAATGGGTATAACAGAAAGAAGGGTGAGGAGATGGTGGTGTGTAGAGGTATAGACTGAACCTTAGGAAACCAACTGTAGGCCCACTGAAAGCAGGCAGAGCTCCCCACCCGCATTCTCTCTTATCGATGCTGATGGTTTTTAAATTGCACTTGTGACTGTGGTGTTGGTCAGGGTGGGGGTGGAGGGTTACCCTTGATAAGAGGTGAAATTGGATGGAAATAAGTGAGAAAAGAGGTTTCATGTCCCAGATAGCAGGCTGACTTTGCTACACCTGTGTGTCTGTGCACACCGATATTTACATCCCAGAGCCCAGGATGTGGGACACACTTGCCACAGGACTCTCGGGTCCTTCTGCCTGGGGCAGGGAAATCTCCGCCCAGCGTTGGTCTCTAACTTTAAGCCCGTCAGTGACTTGCACTCCTTGGTCTCATCTCGGAAAGAGCTCTTTGTCCATGAATTATTCAGGGCTGACAGCTCCTGCTGTCACTCGGCCCCCCCTTCTCAGGAACACGACTCCATCAGGATGACCTCCCAGCCCCAGGATCATTGTCTGTGCACTGACGGGTACCTCGAACTTCAGGATAAAAACCTGAAAGCACAATTCCTTGCAAGCCTTCTTCCGCTGTCTGTCCTAAGAGAGAGAGGGCCATCATGAACTTACCTGGGGTGTGTATTTTAAAAGCTAGACCAGGGCAAAATAATGGAAGACAGTGAATTTAAGAAGAAAAAAGTCCATAGTGCTGACATCTCTGCCTTGAGTGCCTGGAGCATTCTGTAACCTAGGTATACGCACTTCTTTGGAACTACAACTAGCATTTGTTAATTGCTATAGACCCCCTTTTCCTTGTAGAACTTCAAAAATCAGTTATGTAAATGTTTGTAGAAGTTCTGCAAATAACACTTGTGACACATGTTCAATATAAGAAAAAACAGATGTACGCACAATAGAAGACCCTGTTCACATCTTTTATTCCTCTACCTCAACAAACATACACACGTGCACACACATATATACATTCTCATTCTCCAATGTATAGCAATACATAGGGAAATAGGGTGTATATATAAAACCTAAATAGGGTCATACTGCAATATCTTATCTGCGAGGTTTTTTTTTTTTTTTTTTTTTTTCTAACTCAGTGTCATAGATATTTTTCCTTGCCAAGGAGGTTACAATTCACTCTATCAAATTCCTTGAGGGTAGAGCCTGTGTCTTACTTAGCTTTGCAGCCCCAGGGTCACAGTATCTGCCATAAGGCACACATTCAGCAAACAAAGAGTGTGAAGGGAAAGTGGCTGGGAGTGGGCACGATGGGGACGTGGAGTTTGCTGGGTTAGCCACAGCCTCCCCTCTCTGTGGCTGCCCTCTGAGCCCTTCCCCCAACCCCCTCTCCTGGCCTTGTTCCTCTTATTCTCTCCTCTTTCCTCCCAACATCTCTCTTTACCACCCTCTCCTCCAATCAAGTTCATTTGCAGGGGAGGGGTGATCTATCAATTAATTACCAGAAGCAAATTGATGGTCCTAAGTGACGCTTTGTCTTTAATTGAATCAGCTGCCAACACTGAAATCAGACTTCAAGTAAGTGTTCACATTTCCAGCTCCTCTTGAAAAATGACTCTGGGGGGTGCCCCCTTTGCTTGGGCCCAGGCTGTCCAATTTGCCACAGCCCCAGGAGGCCTGCTCCCCTCATTACCTAACCTGTCGGGTGTCTTTTTAAATAATCCCTGACTTGTATCTTAGTGTGATTTGTTTGTCTCCCTGGGAGATTTATCTCCTGTCTCTTATTGAGGAGCAAAGGACGCTGTCTCCAATTAGTGAGATTTCCCAGTCAGCCTGTCCTACCTGGAGAGCTGCAGAGACGTGACCTAGGTCTATAGGCAGGTGCTCATTGTGGCTGGGTGGTCAGGACAGATGGGCCCTTTAAAGGGAAGTGGTGCAGGCTGGAGTAGGTGACGCGGTGTAGCTGTCTGCCTGTCACCACCACACCTGGAGATACTGTCTTCTAGGAATTTTGAGAGAGAAAATTCACATCAGAAACTGAAAATAATACAACCAAGGAGAGCTAAGATTTGCTAAGTATTTTATATGTCCTGGGCACAATTCCAAGCTTTCTGGGAGCTTACAAAAGGACGTGATTCCCAGTCAAGTTACCACGGTCTCAAATCTAGTCCTAGACTTAGGAACTTCAGCAGAGAGCTCAAGTCCTATGTTGCCCAGCATTTTACCAAGGGGGAAATCGGAAACTTACCTTGTTCGTTCCAAAAATATGGATTCAACATATATTTGTTAAATACTTACAACACACCCAGGCACTGTTCTAGGTCCAAGGAACATAGTTAAGTACAAAATGGACACATTCCTGCCTTCATGGCTCTTATGTCTAGTAGGGGGAGAGTTAAATAAATTCTAGATTTTGGAGGGTCATAATAAAACAATCATTTGTTTCTATGGAGAAAGTTAATGACTTTAGGGGGCATTGAAATCTAAGTGGAGGAAAACGTCCCACACCTTCCATCGCTCCAAGGTCTGACAAACATGCTGCAGAGGAAGCCAAGAACTTTTCCTCCCTGCAGAAGGAGCCTTCATCTTTCTCTGTAGGTTCTCTCTCTCTCTCTCTTTTTTTTTTTTTTTTTTTTTGAGACAGTGTCTCATTCTATGGCCCAGGCTGGAGTGCAGTGGCACCATCTTGGCTTGCTGCAACCTCTGCCTCCTGGGTTCAAGCGATTCTCCTGCCTCAGCCTCCCAAGTAGCTGGGATTATGGGCATGTGCCACAACACCTGGCTAATTTTTGTATTTTTTAGTAGAGATGGGGTTTCGTCATATTGGCCAGGCTGGTCTTGAACTCTTGATCTCACGTGATCCTCCCTGTGCTCAGCCTCCCAAAGTGCTGGGATTACAGGTGTGAGCCACCAAGCCTGGGCTTGTAGGTTCCCTCTTACTGGCAGGAGGGGGAGTTCTGACAGGCAGCTTGCGGTCTAACTAGAAGAGGCTCTGCCACCTCCCCTGGCTGGGTGTTAACATTGAGTATCTATTCCAGCCTCCAGACCCAGGGACGGGCGATCTGGAGAAGCAAGACTGGTAACTATCCTGAAAACACAGAAAACAGAAAGGAGCCCGGAGATGCTCCCATCTAATCTTCTTGCCTTATTAATGGGAAAGATTGGAGGCCAGGGAGGCTCAGTGCCTTGCTCAAGGCTACCCTCTGAGAAGGTAGCAGAGAAGCTCCCAGAACCCAGCCTCCTGCCTCCTTGTCTAACCCTTCCTCTGCCTGAGAACCCCAGTGGGTCCTTGGGGTGAATGAGGAGAAGTGGGAAAGGCTAATAGAGGGAGTGCTTATTTCTCCCCACAAGCTCTACTTGCTCTGCTCTTGGGGAACCATGCAGGGCTGGGGCCAGGCTCAGTCTCATTCTACCCTGGGGTCAGTTTCCCCTTGCAGCTTTGGACCAGATGAGAGCGGGTTGGAGGAGCGGAGGAGGGTCCAGAGAGAGCTGTTTTCCCCATTTTGGCTACTCCATGGCCACTTGAGGTGTGCCTATAACCCCTGGGAGGATAATCCCAGAACCAGAGCAAGGCTAGGCCAAAGACTACTATGAAATAGACCACAGCCAAGGGGAAGGGCTATTGGCAGGTGACACAAATGCAGCCTGACACTCACATGCCTGCTTCTACCTGCAGGACTGAAAGGCCACAGCAGGTGTGCATGGGAGTGATGACAGGTGAGTTGTGGTTTTCACGGCCAGATTTCAGAGTGCCCCTCTCCTTCCCAACACAGCAGCATCCTCTCTAATAAAGAGAATGGACACCACCAGCCACTTTATCACTGGAGCCCAGGAGAAAGGGGACGGTGTTCTGAGAGGACAGATCAGGAAGCCAGGATATGAAAAATCACAAACCCTGAATGGGGGTGTGCGAAATGTATCCAGGGTCTCTGGGCAAACAGAAGCCAGTGGGCATTGGGTTAAGATTGGGGAACCTAGGAGAGGGCTTAGGGGCCAGCTGGAATGGGTGTCGGGGCCAGAGTCCTGAGTTTCCTGCCCACCCAGACCCAGGGCTAGACTTCATCCAGGGAAAATGCCCGTGGTTCACTCCTCCCACCCAAGGGGAGGACCCAGCCGAATTTCCAGTCTATTTTATCCTGTAATATTGCCCTTGCTTGTAAAATACAAGACATCAGTTGGGTTCAGGCAAATGAAATGAAAAAAATAAAAGTCAACTATAATCCCACTATCTAGAGATAATTATTGTTAGCATTTTGGCCTTTTGATTTACAAATGTGCTTGCGAATATACTATCATAATTTAGTTTTTTTAAAATATAATATCAGAGATTCCTTATAATTCTGTTAAGTCACCCTGAAGTTAAGTCCTTTAACAGCAGCTGGGTCAGCCTAGCGGGATGTTAGTCTCCTATGCTTGGTGCTCATAAATCAAGAATAAGGGAAACCACTTCGCCGTCCGTATTAGAGCAAGAAGACGTAGATTACAATGCAAGTGCTCTGCTGAGCTGGTGCTCCATGGGAGTAATGAACAAGTGAGGCAGCTAGTGCCCTGTCAATTCAGCCAGTGAATTGAAAGGAGGGGCCCATGAATTGTTAGGTTCCCTGGAAAGCACAGGGATGAACAGGATGCTGGCCCTGCCTTACAGAACTCATGGTCCAGCAGGGAAGGTTGAGCCTGGCAGTTCAGCCCTCCTGGATCTGATTGACAGGTGAGAGGATGTTGGTGGCCAAAGCGGTAGGCAGGAGGGTCCCCTTGGAGAGAATCAAAGGGTTCTGAAAGGGGAGGCCCATTACCAACTCCGTGGCTATCACAGCTGTGCCTAGGCTTGGCCCTGTTTGTCTTGAAGTGGTAGGAAAAAAGAAGCGGCTTGTTTGGGGGGTGTCTGGGAAGATAGGATATAGTTTAGACCCTGAAGCCACAAATGCAGATGCCTCTTTGCCTAATTTCTCAGTTCGTCTCAATTTTTCCTCCCAATTTGCCCTGTTACAAGTCTGAGTGCCCCTCTCTAAGCAGAGGGGCCAGGAGTCCCAGCTGGCCAGAGGTCCCGCAGAAAGCAGGTGTGAGGGCAGATCTTGCTTCTGAAGCCCTCCGAGGCAGGCCTTACTCCAGCATACCCAATGGGGAAGGAGGGAGGAGTGGAGACCACAGCTGCAAGCTCAGCTGGGTGGCTGAGCCAGCAGGAGGAGCAGGTCTTCCCAGAAGAAAGTACTCTAGGGACATCCAGGCCTGTGCTGTGCAGCATGGGATGGGGCTGGCTCAGGCTCAGCCCACCTGACCATCAATCTCAGAACTTTAGAGGCCTCCTGATCTTTGAGATCTCCAAACGTAGCCATGCCCTCGCCCACCATGGCCATTTTGTGGGTGGCAAAGCTGAGTGTCAGGGAGGTAAATGGACTTTCCTGAGGCTATGTGCTCAGTAAGTGGCATGGTCCCTGTGAACCCAGCCCCACAGGCTGTGCCCTTTGTTCTCACCCCACTGCTGCCAGGGAACTTGGAGGCAGTGAGGACAGACCAAGTACACAGCAGACTTAAAACAAAATGACTGGCAAATTTACGTGAAAAGATCCAACGTCATGTTTGATCACAAAGCACTGACACAGGTACCTTTCATTCAGAAAGCAATCTCTTTCAGACCTATCACCAAATATTTGTATTTTGTCATTGATCCTTACAGACTATCCTCAGATGAGGGAGCAAGAGTACCCCTCACCCATGCACACATTCATGCTGTCCCTGTAAACCTGAACCCAGCTCAGAACTTTCCCCGCTTTCCCACTACAGGTGGAAAAGTGTTTCTTTGCAAGCCAATCGGGGGTTAGAGAATGAAGTTCATTATTTTGGGTTAAGGATGGGGAAAATTGAATCACCCACGAGTTAGGAGGCTGCCCAAGGTTGCAAAGCCAAGTGACCAGTCCCCTGACTTCCAGGCCAGCTCTCCCACCCGCACCCTGCCTGCTGCCTGCACAGTGTCAGCCTCCTTCACAGGGAGCCCCTTTAAAGCCACCTTCTGGATTCTGCTCCCAGGAAGCCCCGAGGCACTTCTGGATGGGGCAAAAAGAAAGGGGAGTTGGGGGGAGGAGTGGAGGCATCTGCCTCCCATGACACTCTCTCCCCGCTCTGCCCTCTTCCCTCTCAGGAGCAAGACACAACTTAACTGCTCCTGACAGCACTATTTTTAGCGGTCCTCTGGCTGTCAGCTCTGGGACATGTTCTCTGCATGTTCCCTGGAGCTTTCCCACCCTGCTGTCACTCTCAGGAGAAGGGAGGGGGGCTGGAAGGCAGCCCGAGTCCCTGTCCCAGCATCACTTTCTCTAATGAGGCAGTAGCACATGACAGTGAAAAGCCTTGGTGTCCCAGAACTCTGGTTCAAACCCCAGCAACCTCAGTTAGCTGTGAGACCCTGGGCAGCTCGCTTGATTTTTCTCAGTCTCAGTTTTCCCTTTCTCTAACTTGGAGATCATATTGCCCTGTGTTTGTTACTGAGGATTAAGTGAGATAACGCATGTAAAGCGCTTAGGACTGGGCCTGGCCTAGCATTTTATAGATGTTCATTTTTAGCTCCTTCACTTCCAGAGGCCTGCTCCAGAGGTACAGATAGCCTCACAGAGGCTACAGGGGTGGCCTCACAGTCCCAGGCAGGGTGTGAGGAAGGACCATGCCTTGGAATAGGGGCGGCGACCCCGGCAGCTCACCCTAGAGGAAGGGAGTCAGTCTTTTTTTTTTTTTTTTTTTTTTTTGAAATAGGGTCTTGCTCTGTTGCCCAGGCTGGAGTGCAGTGGCACAAACACAGCTCACTGCAGTCTTGACCTCCTGGGCTCAAGCCATCCTCCTGCCTCAGCCACCTAAGTAGCTATGACCACAGGTGAGCACCACCACACCCGGCTGATTTTTGTTTTCATAGAGACAGGGTTTTGCTCTGTTGCCCTGCCTGGTCTCAAACTCTTGGGCTCAAGTGATCCTCCTGCCTCAGCCTCCCAAGGTACTGAGATTATAGGCATGAGCCACCACTCCTGGCAGTAGGTAGGTCAGTCTTTAGAGGTGGCCTTCAGCTGGTGAAGGCCAGGGCCTCAAACCAGTTCTCTCTTTAGTCCTTTCAGACATCATCAGATATTTCAGTCCTTCTGTTCCAATGCCTGTGTGCCACACTGGAAAGAGAGTCATACCCCACGATGGTGCTGAGTAAGTTCCCTTTCTGTCTCTCTCTGAGGTTATGTGTTCCTACTGGTCTTCAACATATAGGTGGGAGGATTTGGGGGGCTGGCAAAGTCAAAGAGGCTTAAAAATAGAAGTATTTAAGTCAAAGCCCAAATGCCCCCTCAAGCTGATTTCAGGCTGCCTGATGAGCCTAATTTTGAAAAACAGGTCAATGCCCACCCTTCAGAAGCCAGGGGTGGATAAAGCTTAGAGACTGACACCTGAGCTATGGCAAGGGGCAAGCTTCCAGCCCTTAACAAAATAATATTTAGCCAATTTTTCTCTGTTTCCCTCCCTCTGCACAGAGACTTGTGGATTCAGGCTCAAGAACTGGTGAGAAACATGAAAGAGAACCTGGTAAGCATCCGTCCAACTCTGGCATGGCTGGGCTGCCTGGCTTTGCTGCAAGGCGGGCAGACCGAAGTGATGATGACCCTCGTACCATTTTACCATGAACTCGGCAACTAGTGTGACCTGGGTTCTTTAAAAAATGTCTCTGCCATTCTCTGGCGGTCATTAGAGGAAAGGACCAATTCTTTTTTGTTGTTGTTTATTTTTATTTATTTATTTATTTATTTTGAGACCAGTTATGAGACTGGCTAATTTTTATATTTTTGGTAGAGACGGGGTTTTGCCATGTTGCCCAGGCTGATCTCAAACTCCTGGGCTCAAGCCATCTGCCCGCCTCGGCCTCCTAAAGTGCTGAAATTACAGGACGAGTGATAATGCTCAGCCAAAAGGACCCATCCTCTTCAGAATGGTTTTCCTTGTGGTCGTGCTGAAAGTCAGCAGATGGACTAAATGACTTGTCCCACAGGGAGGTGGTGGAGAGCTTCAGTTCCAGGTGAGACTGGTTTGAGTTTGAATCTTGAATTCTCCATCTATTAGCTGTATGATGTTGGGTAAGGCACTTACCTCCCTAAACCTCAGTTTTTCTGTTTATGAAATGGGGTGATAAAAGAGCTGCAGCAAAGGGTTTTGGGAGCATTAAATGAGGTATTGGATGTGCCTGACACAGACTCAATACATAACAATGCAAGCTACAGGCTTTTATATTATTGTAGTGGCGATTGCTGTTATTAATAATTACCATATTAATTTTAGTTCTGAGTGTGGAGGCCTCTGTCACATACATGCTGGGTGCCTTGGTACCACTCTCCTAACAGTTCGTATACTATTTACTCGATAACCTATATAAATTTGTAATAAGCATCCTTAGATCTTTTGTGTTGCCCTTATGGGCAAGTATCAAACCAAGGCAAGCCTTGCTAGCAAACTGTATCTAACTAAGCACTGAGCCTGGACTGCTGGAACCAAGGGAAGCTGCTGTTTCAGCCAGCCATGCATGCATTAAAGCGTTCAGGAAGTGAAGTGAAGGTCATTCTAAGGCATATAAGGACAGGGATTAGAGCAGGAGCTACACCATAAAGTTTGTTTTCCTTGAACAGGAGAATTCCAGAATTTCTGAAATAATGATTATTCTATAAAATAGAGAAGAGATCCTGGGTCTAACCCTGTAATTTTCCAGATGAGGAAACTGAAGTTCCCAGAAGTCATGTGACCTGTGCAAGTTCACACGGCTAATTAGAGCCCAAATCTAAAGTGCCTGCTTCACAGTCCAGTGTTCCTCAACTACATCGTGCTGCCTCTTAAAAAGCAAAGTTTGTTTTCTGGTTACACAAGAAATGCATGTTCATAACCGAAAAAATCAGAAAACACAGATAAGCAAAAAGTAAAACCATCCTTAATCCTAATAACCCAAAGATAATTATGGTTAATAACTTGGTGTACATTACCTTCCATATTTTTTCCTAGCATATATATCTTTATATATTTTATAAAACAGGGATGTTACTGGATAAAGATGTTGTTTTTTGTTTTTTGTTTTGTTTTGTTTTGTTTTTTTGAGACAGAGTTTCGCTCTTGTTGCCCAGGCTGGAGTGCAATGGTGCGATCTCGTTTCATCACAACTTCCACCTCCCGGGTTCAAGTGATTGTCCTGCCTCAGCCTCCCAAGTAGCTGGGATTACAGGCATGTGCCACCATGCCCGGCTAATTTTGTATTTTTAATAGAGATGGGGTTTCTCCATGTTGGTCAGGCTGGTCTCGAACTCCCAACCTCAGGTGATCCGCCCAACTCGGCCTCCCAAAGTGCTGGGATTACAGGCATGAACCACTGCACCCAGCCAGAGATACTTTTTATAACCTCAAACAGATTTTCTCAACAGATTAGTTCCCATGATAATTACATTTTTCAGCATCATTTTAAAAGCTACATAGTGTTTCATCTCATGAGTATTCCACAGTTTACACAGCAGTCCCCTCTTTTGGACATTTATGTTGTTTCCAGTTTTTCCTTCTTATGCATAAGGCTTCATCATTGTAGCTGAATCATTCACGTATCCTTGTTTCCTTAAACTATATTTGGGGAAATGAAATAATTAGATCCAAATAATTAGATCAAAAGGTGTGTCTTTTAATTAAAAAAAAAGTTTTGGATATATTTTATCAATCTAGAGCAGTTATACCACTTTAAACTCCTGCCATATACTACTATTGAAAAAAATTCATACATGAGTTTTTCAGGGATGGGTGTATGAAATGGAAAGACATGAAAACAAAGACATTATTTTGGTTCAAGGTCTTAACACAATCTCCTTTTCATGCTGTTGCCCTTTTATTCAGCAACTTGACTTTCAATTTGACTGGAAGCTCATCAATGTGTTCTTCAGTAATGCAAGCCAGTGTTACCTGTGCCCCTCTGCTCAACAGGTAAATGGCAGCCTTGGGGACCAAGGGATTACAGATGCTGGGGTGGAGAGGGAGTGAACTAAACCTGCCTGATTACCCAATCCCCAGCTGTCAGGATGGGGCTAATGCCACCTATTTTAGAACATGGATGGATGGATGGATGGATGGATGGATAGATGGATGGATGGGCAGACAGACAGACAGTCACATACTCAAAGAAACGTACGCTTGAACAGGCGTTCTGTGGGTTTTATTGCTTCAATTTTTTTATTGTGATAAAATACACATAAAGTTGACCATCTTAATCATTTTAAGTGTACAGTTCAGTGACATTAGATAATTCATAATGTTGTACATATGACATGCATTCATAACTGTCACAAGGAACAGGTGTTTTTTACTTACCATCCCTCATATCAGGAAAAGGAAATAGAGGCATAGATAAGCTGAGTCAACAGTCATTCCGCAACTGAGAAAATTAGCGTCCTAGTTGGTTAAAAACTATCTTGCGTCTTAATTCTGATTTCATGTAAGTTCTGAATTTAGGAAATAAAGCAGGGTGCATACCATCCTCACCCCTTGGCCCATGAATTCTATTTGTGGTGGGAAAGCTGCTGTTTTATTGAAGTAGACTGTATCTTCCAAGTGCTTTGGCTTTTCTGGAAACAGGACATGAAGCGTGTGGTCTCGTTTATTATTTATGTAGGTGAATATCTATGACTTAAGTCTTTATTGAAGATCATTCAGATTAGGATCAGTTGAAAGTGTAAGGGGTGGTTTAGAAATCTAAGCCATGGTGAAATAAATGGCACCTGGACTCTTCTTCAGGATCCTGAAGACTGGCTGCTGCCACACTGTCCCTGCCACTTGTGGGACCAGCTTGTCCTCTTCGCCACCCTCCAGGCCAGGGCACAGGCATGGTGGAGCTTCTGGAGGTGGTGGTTTCTTTTCTGTGCCCCTCTCCTACAGTAGATACTCTTGCCTTCCTTCAAGTGCGCCACACTCCCACTGACTCCAGGCTCACCGTCAGAACTCCCCTTCCTTTAGTGATGTCAAGCCTTGGAAGAACATTGATGGAAATCCACCTTCCTGACTAGCTCTCATTGGCCAATATTCCTGTAGCCTTCCTGGGTTTTTAGCATATAGATAATGAAGATTTATTGTTCCAGTTTACCCTCTGTTTTCTCCAGTGCCGAGTGAAATTTACGTGCCTCATTTGTTCTCTCCACAGCCCCCCTTTTTGGTCATTATGCATTACTTCATGAATGTATGCATTCATGCATTGACATGCTCAAGCATTTAGACATTGGTGCATTGCTCTCTGTACTCATTAATCCATGACATTAACTCATGCATTTATGCAGTCACGCACTGAAGTGTTCAAGCATTTAGATATTGCTGCATTCTTCTATGTATTCACTAATAGAATCATTCATCCATAAGTTATATTCATGTATAAATTCATTTTCTCATCTTACATGCAGACATATGCTATTGTATTTGTGATCAGTTTGTTCATGATAGCATATGATTTTTTAAAATGTATGAATGCATTTATGAATACTTAGACTCATCAATGATTTTTCCATATACTTCATCTTGTGTTTAAACATTCCTACATAAATTCTTGCATGCTTTCATGTATTTATGCCTTCAAACATTCTTGAATACATGTTGTATTCTTGTGCACATGTATTCAACTACATGTTATTTGTATTTTTAGTTATGCAAGCAATACACAAATATTTTCCTTCTAAAAACTAAAACATCAGTTAAAGCTAAAATATGTATCCTTTTGGCCACCTCCCTAATCCTCTGTCTCTTTTTCTTTGCAAACCTCTTACATATCTATAAATCCAAGCCTTATTTTGTGTGCTTGTATGTATGAGAGAGATTTAATATAGTGTTATATTGTATGTACTACTGAACAGTTTTTTTCACTAACCAAGTATTGTTGAGATCTAGTCATGTTGACATATATGGAATGAGTTTATTTCTCTTCCATGAGTATTTTGCTGTGTAAATTTACTACATTTTATTTCACCATTTTCCTATACTGATGGCCATGTAGGTATTTCTAGTTTTTCACTATTATAAACAATGCTACAATGAACAGTCTTGCTCATTTACTTGACTATGTGGAAGAGTTTTCCTAGATACAGTGATTTTCAAATTGTGGACTGAAGTACATTAGTGAGTCAAAAAATCAATTTAAAGGATTGCAACCAACATTGTAAAAAAAATAGAATAGAATAAACTCTAAAATCCTCGAGTTCATTGCATGTAGTAAGGTAAGTATTGGTTCATGAGATTTTTGCATCATTTCTATATGGATACTTGTACTGGATTGGGACGTGAAACACATCTCACACTGTGGGTCAAGATAAAAACAGCCTCAAGAGCTGGGCGCGGTGGCTCACGCCTGTAATCCCAGCACTTTAGGAGGCCGAGGCAGGTGGATCACAAGGTTAGGAGTTTGAGACCAGCCTGGCCAATATGGTGAAACCCCATCTGTACTAAAAATACAAAAATTAGCCGGGCTTGGTGGCAGGCACCTGTAGTCCCAGCTACTCGGGAGGCTGAGGCAGGAGAATCACTTGAACCCAGGAGACAGAGGTTGCAGTGAGCCAAGATCGCACTACTGCACTCCAGCCTGGGTGACAGAGAGAGACTCTGTCTCAAAAGAAAATAAAAAAAAAAGAAAAGAAAAAAACAGTCTCAAGAAAAGCGCCTGGAGTAGATTCTTATACCAGTCTTTAGGTGCGCACATTTTGGGTTTTAATAGGCTCTGCCTCCTAATTGCCCTCCAAAGTGGCTGAACTCTCATATTTCCACCAGTGGCAGTGAGCACCTATTCTCTACAACCTTCCCAACACTTGTTCTCAGACTTAATGATTTTTGTCAACATGAGAAATTCCTGCAAGATCTAGTCATGTTGATGACATATGAATTGAGTTTATTCACACTTAGAAGCTCACACTTTTAATTGGTTCAAAACATATGACAAAAGTAATCATGCCTCCTCATTTTTAAACAGCTGTAAACCAATAACATGATGTCCATAAATTTAGCTAATTACAGCAACACCAGCTAGCTTCCACTCAAATTCCCTCTTTATTCTATTTCTTCTTCCATCTTGATTTTTCCTATTGCACAAAAACCACCAAGGCTTTGATGCCTGGAATAAATCTCACCTCCACTTCCACTTACCCCAGAGGCCCTGTGGCTCCTAGGCCTGGCTCCTTTGGCCTCCTGGCCAGGCCTGCTGGTGTTGCCCTTCTCACAGCCCAGACCCACACTCACCTCCTAGTGGTACCTCTGGCCACACCTCCCCGTTTAAGCTAATCCTGTGGTGTAGCTCAGCATCCTTGTTTGAGAAGTTCTTACGTGGCATTTTTATTTTTCTGAAAGCACATCTCAGGTATAAGCTCTCCCTCGGTGGTTGTAAAAATGTGCTCTGTAGATGGCCGGGCATGGTGGCTCATGCTTGTAATCTCAGAACTTTGGGAGGCCAAGGCAGGTGGATCACTTGAGGTTAGGAGTTCAAGACCAGCCTGGCCAATGTGGTGAAACCCTGTCTCTACCAAAAATACAAAAATTAGCTGGGTGTGGTGGTGCATGCCTGTAGTCCTAGCTACTCGGGAGGCTGAGGCAACAGAATCACTAAACCCAGGAAGTGGAGGCTGCAGTGAGCTGAGATCATGCCACTGCACTCTAGCCTGAGCAACAGAGTGAGACTCTGTCTTTAAAAACAAAACAAAACAAAACAAATGCTCTGTAGAGACCCAGGGGCCACTGGAGATCCCTCTGTGGGCATATGTTGAGAAGGTGGGCACCAGCTGCCACCTGACTTTACAGAGCAGGTGTCAAGGGTTTCCTAAAAGTTCACACGAGAAAAACATGTTTTACCCTTAAGAGGAAATGTTGAGCTACTGTCCTGCCCCAACTTAGGACCTGAATTCTCTTCCCCTGTGGAGACCTTTGGGCTCATTTAATGGGAAATAAACAAGGGCCTGTGTCCACAGTTGTTCTTTAGGAGTTTCTTATGACCAAAGTCAGAGAGTCAAGTCAGCAACTATCCATTAGGTGTGACAATGACTCTGAAGGCAGGTGCTTTGGAGGTAAATGATGAGCTGGCTCACAGCAGTGACCTGAGGATGCTTTTTGGATCTGGACACTTGCTTACTGCTCTCTAGTTAAATTTGGCTTTATTAATTAGTAAGATTTTAAAAATCAGAAGAAAAAATGAAAAAAAGAGCTGATTACAAGAAAACAGACACATTTATCCCTTGTAAACGTCTCTAGCTACAGGTGGCAGCCTTTTGGAGGGTACACTGGTGTGTGATTCAAGAAACCTAAACGTGTTTCTAGTTTTTGACTGAATAATATCCCATTCCTTGGTTTAAATCCCAATAAAATAATTTATTAGAAAGAGTTAAGTTGGGTCTCAGGCACGTGTTTGATAATAGACATTCTTCCAAACCAGGGGGCAAACGATACACATGGAAATGTACAAGTTCATTTGAAGAAATCAGCTTTTTCCTGACTTTGGGTTCTAGGAGTTTATTATGTATGACCTTATAGAGGAGGGACATCTTATAGGAGCATAATGTCTTTTACTGAGAAATGGGGACAGTTGGTGTCCCGAGCGACAACCATGCAGTGCCTGGAATGACTGGGTGGGCCCCAATTCCCTCTGCAGCTGCAAGTAAACACCTTGACCAGGGGTTTCTACAGCAAGATTCACACTCTAGAGAGAGCCACACAGGGTCCCCCGCCTCTCCAGGGACGGTGGGTATGGTTCAGATGGGCAGCGAGGATGCCTCTAGACAGAGTTCCCCTGGGCTCTTCAGGAAAGAGAGGGTGATGTTTGATGTCACGGTCAGGGAGCAGCTCACTTAGGAGAAAACTAGACAGAAGGCTTTACGGTAACAGACCTGGCTGACCCGGCCTCCCAGAAGCCAGCCTCACACCAAAGCAGGGACAGCCGGTGAAGGGGCAGAGAAACAGGGACACTGCATTTCCTCCTGTGTGGTGCCAGCCCAGGTGATTGACAGCTGTCTCCAGAGTCACTGCCTGTGTCCCCTCCGGGAAACAGAACAGCTCCTTGGCCTTCCTTGTCTTCCTGTCTGAGCCAAGTTGCCTTAGGGGACAGCCAGTCTGCTGTTTGTTAGGGGACAAACTTAGAAGTTTGTCTTGTAATTTTTATTATTTTTCACATTGAAAAGGTAAAGCAGGCATGAGCCACTGCACCCAGCCTGTAATCCAGCACTTTGGGAGGCCGAGGTAGGTGGATCATTTGAGGTCAGGAGTTTGAGACCAGCCTGGCCAACATGGTGAAACCCTGTCTCTACTAAAAATACAAAAATTAGCTGGGCATGGTGGCGGGCGCCTGTAATCCCAGCTACTCAGGAGGTGGAGGTTGCACTGAGCCGAGATCACACCACTGCACTCCAACCTGGGCAAAAGAGCGAGACTCCATCTCAAAAAAAAAAAAAAAAAAAAAAAGGTAAAGCAGGGTCCGTTTTTGAGGTCCTTCATTTGTTGATTTTCATGACCTGCAGGAAGGGGAGTGGTGTGTGTGTTGGGTGCGTGGGAGATGTCTTTAAATACTCAGGTGGCAGGACCCACTCATACTCTTTCTCTAGGAATGCTTATCTTAGGGCAAACACAGCAAGAGAAAAGCTAATAAAATAGGATCACATGAAGGTTCCGAGGCCCATCTGGGGCCTTAAATACAGGGTTAATTGTATTTCCCTGTTGGACCTGATTTTCTTTGGGAAAAAGCGATTCCTCAAGTCTTTGGGAGTAAGTCTCCTGTCCCTCAGTGTGAGCTTCAGAATCACACCAGGTATTTCTGATCTTGCTCTGACTTTGAGTTTGCCCTTTCCTGATGGAACTTTTCACCTGTGGGGAGTTTGGTTTTTCCCAGGTGGATGATGGGTTGGGGAGAAAATAGAAGAACAAAATGAAGACAAAACTAGGAAGCTCTGGGAATTCTGTCCTCCTTTGTGGAATGCCAGGTCTAGATGGTGCCTTTGCCTGTGGTCTTGCCTGGCAGGGATGGGCCTGTTGTGAGTCTGGGTGGCCTCACCTCGTGGTCCTCCTGCAGGCACCCTCACTTAGCACGGTTCTCCTCTCACAGAATGGGCTTGCGGCGGGCGGCGTGGATGAGCTGATGGGGGTGCTGGACTACCTGCAGCAGGAGGTGAGGCCACGGGCCTAGGGCTTCCCCAAGGGCAGTGGGGCCCATTTACCCTCATGTGGCCTCCACCGGGGTGGGGAAATGGACCCCTGTGAGGGAGACTGGGACCCTCGGGAAAGGGGAAACTTTAGAGCACCCCATCTTCTCATCCTTTCAAATGAGAACATGGGCCAGGAGAGCACACTCCACTCCTGCAAAGGAAACTTCTGAGAGAAACTCGGCTCTTCCTTGAGTCCTCGGTGGCCCTGCTCTTCCCTAAGGCCTCTCTCTACCTGAGACTGGGGCGAGGATAAGATGGAGGGGGCCTGAGGACCTTCAAGACCTTTCTGCTCAGTGACCGTGATGCTGCTGCAGGGTCTGAGAATCAGCTGGGGGTTGCTGTGGCCCTGCCTTCCGCTTTGCTCCCCTGGAGGGCAGCTTTCTGCTGGAGGAGGCTGCAGGCCCATAGCCCCAGTGGTCTCCCTCCCCTGTGGACACTGGTGGGAGGCGCCCCGCCCACCGTGAGGGACAGAGAGTCCTGTTTCTGGATGGCACAGATGCAGGGCTGGCAGCGCAGACTGACCCTGACCAAACATCTCCCAAAGGATCAGGCCCAGTTAACCAAGGGGAGGCCCATCACACTCAACCACACCCCAACGGGGCCCAAGCAGGAGTTCCAGAAAGCCCGGCAGCCATGGCGACTTGGCAAATACTCACCTCCCTCTCTGTGTGTCCTCCTAGGTCCCCAGAGCATTTGTAAACCTGGTGGACCTCTCTGAGGTTGCAGAGGTCTCTCGTCAGTATCACGGCACTTGGCTCAGGTAAAAGGGGAAGTGGAATGAGACACGCATCTGTGACACGGCTGTCACGTGTGCGGCCTGTGGGGGCCCTTCATGTGCCGTAATCTATGAGGGAGCCCTAAAGAACAGAGGCCAAAGGAGGCCGAGAAACACATGCGAGCTCACACCCGAGCGAGTGGCAGAGTCGGGGTGGGGTGGGCCCTCTGCCAAGCATTGTTTTGGGGACTGAGTCAAAGAATAAAATACTTTATTCTTTTATTCTGGTTGATGTTGTGCCAGAGGCTCTCCTCAGTGCCAGAGTGATTTCAGAGTTCGCCTTGGCAAAACATCCATAAGCTAAGAAGTGTTACTTCTGGAAATTGGATAGAAAAACGTAGCCTAAATGTAGTTTAACTTCACAGAACTTGATTCCTATATATTTCTGAAAATGTTCATAGACTTTAAACTTTTTGGAGCCAAATCCTAAGAATTCTGGCTCTGGACCTAGAAAAGAAGTTCATGTGGAAAAAGTCAGGGCAAGGGCGGTGGAGAAAAGAGAGTGCTGGAAAGGAGAGAAGTGGGGTGCTGGGGAAGGAGGGCTCTGAAGAGGATGCAAGACAGAGAAGGTACAGGGGAGGGAAAGGGGAATGGGATGTGGGTGTCTGGTGTGAAGAACAGTGAGCGGGGAGGAGGAGGACTGAGAGATGAAGGGGGAGAAAGAGCTTCCCTCTATCCCATAGTCACCCCCTAGGAAGAGCTTTCCTCCATTCCATATCTACCCCCCAGGAAAAGCTTCCCTCTATCCCATAGCCACCCTCCAGGGAGAGCTTCCCTCCATCCCATACCCACCCCCCAGGGAGAGCTTCCCTCCATCCCATACCTACCCCCCAGGGAGAGCTTCCCTCCATCCCATACCTACCCCCTAACCCATACCCACCCCCTAGGGAGAGCTTCCCTCCATCCCATATCGACCCCCTAGGAAGAACGTCCCTCCATCCAATACCCACCCCCCAGGAACAGCTTCCCTCCATCCCATACCCAACCCCCAAGAAGGGACCACCCACCCTCTATTCTTCTCAACATTTATGTCCTCTAAGACTTATGCTTCTTCATCCCTACTCCTTAAGCAACTCCTATGCCCCTTCTTCCATAAGAGGCGGGCTGGATGCATCCCCTTCCCTGCCCACACTGCCTCCCCTCTCTCATTCCTGGTGTGTTTTAACCTGCAGCCCTGCACCAGAGCCCTGTAATTGCTCAGAGGAGACCACCCGGCTGGCCAAGGTGGTGATGCAGTGGTCTTATCAGGTGAGCCCAACCTGGGATCCCAAGCTGCTGGCTCACCGGGGTGGCGTGGTCGCCAAGGAGAACAGGAGTGATAGGGACAATTAGTTGAGTTTGCTAATGTTAGGACTTCTCCAGCTGAATTCAGGACTAAGTCAGGAGCAAAGAGAGCTACTCTTGCTTCACATCGTGGTAGTGATTTCAGTATTCCTGCATATAAAATGGGGCCTGCAGGACTGGTAGGGGTGCGAGTTGGGGGACAGTGGGGGTACTTGAGGCAAAAGATAGTGAGGAACTTCGAAGATTCATTCTGGAATGCTTTTGGTCATCAGTGCCACTTGTACCACATCTGGGGTGGGTGAGCTGGTTTTGCCCAGTGTGCCTGTCCCTAGCTTACAGCCCAAAGGCAAACCAGGGCTCCTGAAGATGCACATTGCAGTTCACAGAAGAGACCCCAAGAGAGGGTGAAGGGGTTGGGCGTGGTGGCTCACACCTGTAATCCCAGTATTTTGGGAGGCTGAGGTGGGCAGATCACTTGAGGTCAGGAGTTCAAGACCAGTCTGGGCAACATAGTGAAACCTCATCTCTACTAAAAATACAAAAATTAGCTAGGCATGGTAGCATGCACCTACAGTCCCACCTACTCAGGAGGCTGAGGCGGGAGAAGTCGTTTGAGCTTGGCAGGTGGAGGTTGCAGTGAGCCGAGATCGCACCACTGCACTCCAGCCTGGGCAAGACAGCGAGACTCCGTCTCAAAAATAAATAAATTAAATAAATAAATAAATAAATAAGGGCGAAGGGCTCAATGAAAGCCACCATCCCTCTTAGCAAACAGCTCAAAGCACGGTTTCTGTTAGCATGTGTTAACATGATGACTTTTGCTTATGAAGAAAATTGCATTTGAAGTTGCATGGTATCTCTCTCGCTCTGGAAATGACAACATTTTTTGAGTGGTTAAGGCACCTGACTCTACTGAACTTAGCTCTTGAAGAGAGCAGGGGGCCCTGCCACACGCTGGGCTGTCTTGTCGTTCCTAAGCTTCCAGAGAATATATTTTAGGTCTGTCTGTGGTATTACCTAATGCTGGTACTTCAGAGACAAATGAAAACTCAGCTTAGCTATCAAAGAGCCCTGAAGGGTGAGACAAGAGGGAGCTTCAGAATAGCACTTGACCACAACGCAAGAGGCAGATCCTGTCCCAGGGCTGCCGAGAATGATTTGGTCAGGTCTGGGGCCGGCTCTGCCTCGCTCATGTTCCTGGATGGGCACCTCTCTGCTCCCTTCTCCAGGAAGCCTGGAACAGCCTCCTGGCCTCCAGCAGGTACAGTGAGCAGGAGTCCTTCACCGTGGTTTTCCAGCCTTTCTTCTATGAGACCACCCCATCTCTACACTCGGTAAGTGGGGGCTGCATGGCGTATCAAGAGTGTGGTGGGGGCCGGGCATGGTGGCTCACTCCTGTAATCCCAGCACTTTGGGAGGCCGAGGTGGGTGGATTACTTGAGATCAGGAGTTGAAGACCAACCCAGCCAACATGGTGAAACCCTGTCTCTACTAAAAATACAAAAATTAGCCAGGCATGATGGTGGGCGCCTGTAATCCCAGCTACTCTGGAGGCTGAGGCATGAGAATCGCTTGAACCTGGGAGGCAGAGGCTTCAGTGAGCTGAGATCCTGCCACTGCACTCCAGCCTGGGCAGTAGAACGAGACTCAGTCTCAAAAAAAAAAAAAAAAAGTGTGAAGAGTGTGGTGGGGAGGAGGCCTGGGCCATACATCTGTTCCTGCCCCCTCTTCCACCTTACCCCAATAAGCCTCAGCCCAGTTCAGCTCTCCTGAACCCAGGATGCATAGTCTTAGGGGAAATACCCCCATATTATACTTTCCTGTACAATTTCCTCACAGGGTTGAACAGCCCCCATGAAATGTGCTGTTAGAGGCAGGGCAGCCCAGGGTGCATGGCCTAGCTTCCCCTCCTAGCTCTGGGGTGACCAGCTGTGTGACCTTGGACAAGGTGTTGAACTCTGTTCTGTAAAATCAGGGCCATTTAGTAACATGTTCTCTCTCTCGGTGGCCATCAGGGCCACATGAGTTAATACTTGGGGGGATGTAGAGTGGCATCCGGTGCTGGGGAAGTGCTCGCACCTCTTGGCCATTGTGGTTATTCCGAAGAGAATCTCCAGGGATGCCAGCTCTTGTCCCTCCCCCTGCACGCTCCTCTCCATCCATCTCTGGAAGGGAGGGGAATCTCAGTTGCCCTTGCCCGCTCCCCCAGGACACTGGGCAAGGGGCCACCCAGACCATGTAGCACTTGGTCCACACTTGCTGACCGAGGTCTCCGTAGCCTCAGTCCCGTGTCTGGGAACAGTCCCTCCCTCCAGGCTCCTGCCTGTTGGAATCCTTGTGCCATCTCCACACCACAAACAGTGTTTAAAGTGATGGTTTAAGAGGGTGAGGAGAAATATTAGCTCACGTTCCCTTCCTTCATCCTTCTACTCAGATCACACCTGAATCATTCCCTGCCACCCCCTCCTTCCACTGTTTAGTTCAGTGACAGAGAACCCCATGATGACATGGAGCTGCCTGACGTGCCACCTGCTCCTGCAGGCCCTGACCTCAGGGCCCTGACCCCAGACGGTGGTCCCATAAGTGCCCCTGTTATTGATGAGGGGCTGAGAGAAAAGGCCTGGACAGATCAGGCTGCCCCAACTCTATGCCAGAGAGAGCTTCAAAGTGTGTAGCAGGTCCGTTGCATTCCTGGGGAGACAAAAGGTCCCGCTGTCAACTGGTTCTCTTTTAGGAGGACCCCCGACTCCAGGATTCTACCACGCTGGCCTGGCATCTCTGGAATAGGATGGTGAGTAGATGGGGCCTGGGGTGGGGCCCACAGAGGAGGGGCAAGGTCTCCACCACCACTGAGCCCACCGTGCTGAGGAGGGGCTGCAGGGCGCCCCAGGATCCCAGGACAATGGTTCTGGGCCACCAGGGATGCTTCTGTCTCCCGGTGACGCCCCTCTCTGACTGCCTGAGACTTTGCCTCGCCACAGGTTCTGCGCTGCAGCCAGGCCAGTGAGCAGCAAAGGTCTCACAGGAGCCTCAGCCCTGGTTTCCCAGAGGTGGGGCCGTTTCTCAGAGTCTGTGTGGAAGACCTGCTTGAGTCAAGCACTGGGGAATGTGCTCCCCTCACCATTCCTGTCCAGCCTGCCCTCACACTTAGGCGGTGTTGTGCGGTTGTCAAGGCCCAAGGTGGTGCCTGGAACAAGCGTGGGCTGCAGCGTGATGAAGGCCTGGGTTGGAATGCTAAGCCCACCACTCACAAGCTCTGTGAACTCAGGTCTCAATGCTCTTTCTGCAAAATCCAGGTCAGCCCCTGGCCCAACATATCTAGCGCGCAGCTCGCTCCTGGCCTGTAGTAAGCACTCCACGTGGATTGGCCTTTTTACTGTAACTGTAACAGGATATCCCCAGATTCCAAAGGGCCCCCAGGGATATCTGGGATTAGTCAGGGGATGGAATGTGGCGTCGACGTCGAGGCTTTGAACCTTTTCAGGGCGTCAGACAGAGACCTGAATTTGCCATTTATTTTCTTCCCACCCAAGCTGCCTTATTTTTAGAATTCTAGTGACAGAAATTCATTTTTCTTCTTTTGTGGATCCGTCTCCACAACTGACATACTGTGTTGAGTACCAGGGACAGCTGCATTTCAGCACACATGAGCCAGTGTGAAACAGAGTGTAGGGAGGGAAGGGGCACGGCCTCCGACAGTCCCTGGCACTGGAAACCTACTGTCTGTCCTTTGAAGAAGGCATTTGAGTTCTCTGAACAGGGACGTCTCTCAGTGTGCCTGGCACTTGCGGGGACTATGTCCCCAGAAATCCACTTTGCTGCTGATCTCCCATGATGGGCAGAGAAGAGGAACCTGGCCCCTCCAGCAGGGACTGCTCTCCCAAGCCCTCTCTCAGGGAGAGGAGGGCTGATGATTCCAGCTCAGCCAAACCTCTCCTCTCCTGCCATCTTTCTCCCAACCAACAAAAGGACACCTGTGACATGGCTTGCCCTTGAAGGTACCACCATACCACCTTGTACCCTGCCCTTGTACCCTCCATGGTTCCAAGGGGGATACAAGAGACCCACCAAATGTGGCTTCTGTTCTCACCAGGCTTCAGGTGTAGCTGGGAAGGGCCAGACAGCCCAGAGGAACGAGAGTCAAAAGGGACTCAGCCAGCAGTGTTGTGCTGGGCCACGCACCAAGAAGCAATGTGAACAATGAGGCCGGGAGAGCCCATGAAGAGGGGATTTGAATGGGCTTTGTGAAATGTGTTGGAGGAGGTCACGGAGGGCGTTCCCAGGCAAAGGGACCTTTGTGAGCAAAGGGCATGGAGAGAAGAATGCGTCAGATGCAGCAGCAAGGGCAGGAAGAGGCCTGTCTGATAAGAGAAGAGATACGGAGATAAGGCTCCCAGCGTGAAAGGAGCCCTTGAGCACCAGACAGAGAAGCTGGAGAGGGCAGGTCCAGGGAGAGGGCTGGATTCCTATCCCTTTCTCCTTTCATCATGCTATTTGTCCTTGATATTGGTGGCAATAGCAATAATAACCACCTTTACAGAGCTGCCAGGTGATGGTCCCATGCATACAAATAAGGTACACCCCACGTACGGTCTCTTAAAACTACTCGAGGGTCAGAATGAGCACGTACACAGGAATGGAAGGTCTCACCCTCAAGGCCAAAGGCCTGCGACACAGAGAGTGTCACAAGGGCTTAGAAGAGGAGGAGGATGTGGCTTTCCTAGGTAAGCAGTGACCTCACTCTCTCCACACCCATACAAGTCCGGTTTCCCAGTGCCAGTGCAAACCCCAAGCTTCCTGCAGCCTCAGCCAGCAGGGACATGGGGGGCAGGGAGAGACAGGATAGGAGGGGGTTCCCCAAGCATCCCCAGTCCCTCGTTTCCTCACAAGCAAAATGCCAGACCATCCCACAGTTCCCGGATCGAGCACAGCTGCTGGAACACATCAGAAGCTCCTGCAGACCCGAATTCAGCCATGAGAAGCGACGGGTATAACAGGTTAGGGCGAAGGGCACTGGACAGGAGCCAGAAAACCCGGGCTCTGATTTCGGTCCCACTTTCGGTGGTTTCTTGAGGCAAGTCACACGGTCTTTCGGGGTGTCCATTTTCTCTACCTGCCAAAAAGGTCTAAGCACCCTTAGCCAGCACCCAAGGGTTTGTGAAAATATGGGAGGGCATTGGGCTCCTTCCTACCCTTGGTTTCGCTAATTGCATCCTCCAGGTGCGGGGAGGGCGGGAGTCTCTGCCACCACATCTGTGATTCTTTGCTGGGCTGGACTGGGACATCGAGGTGGAAGGCAGGTGTACCTGTTCTGTGTCTACCCTCGCAGACACACAGAGCCCAGGTGAGGGCTGCCCTCTGTGTGGGGAGCAGAGAGGGACTGGCAGAATCCCCATGATCACAGGGAGTCCAGGTCCATTACTCTGTCCTCAGACACCCCCGGACACAGCTGTAGGGAAGGAGGATAGCTCTCAGCTCTGCAGCCCACAAAGCCACATACCCAGACCACGTCAGCATCCTCCCTCCCTCCCTCATCCTCCAAGCCCTAGCATAGGTGAGCATTGAGGACCAGCAAAGGAAAAGCTCCACCCATCAGCATGGGAGGTGACAGCAGCCCCATCTAAACATGCCTGGAACTGTCCTGGCTGAGTGAGGCCTCCAGGCTGAAGCTTGCACTCCTGGTGCCAAGCCGAGGAGGATTTTGTGTCTGGGACACGGTTCATTCCCTAGGCCCTTTCTGCTGCTGCCGCAATAATTTCTGGTAATTCTTGTACATCAGTCGTTTTGAAGGGGACCCACCTTTAGGGAACTGATGTCCCTGGCCCTCTCAGCAATCACTGACCCCACCTTATGCCGAGTCTACACCAGGTGCCGAAGCCACAGGCAGAATAAGGAACTTGGGGATTGCTCACAGTCCAGGGAGGATTCTGCTGCTCGGAGAGGATTTTTAAGGTCATTGCCCTCACCCCTCCCACACTGCAGTTCATTCCTCGGTGGCAGGAAGCCGTGCTGGGGAGATGTGCAGAGTGGGGTGGAAGCCCAGACCAGCCCCGGTTGTCCCTGGAGTAAATAGCACATGTGCATTTATGGGACCCACAGTGTGGCAGGAGAAAGAGGCACACATGAGGAATTATTTGAAGTAACTGTGTCATTTCCATCCTTTCTGGGGATTGGGGATGCAGGAGAAGAAAGGGTCAGAGCCAGTGTAAAGGGAATGAATGGAAGCAAGGAGGATGGAGGGGACTCCTAAAGGGACATTTAGGACAAAGTTCTCAACGGAAATGGGTTTCTTGGGAAAATCTATGAATTTTCCTTCTTTGAGGCCCTTTAAAAAAAAATAGACTCTGCTTTATCCACTTTGTCAGAGTCATTTAGATATGGCTCTTTCAAGGTTTCTTTCCAGATTCCATTATGGATTAAATTCTTGAAAGGTTGGGGAAAGGTGGGCGTGGTGGCTCATGCTTGTAATCCCAGCACTTTGGGAGTCCGAGGCAGGAGGAATGCTTAAGGCCAGGAATTTGAGAACAGCCTGGGCAACATGGCAAAAACCCTGCCTCTACTACAATACAAGAAATTAGCTGGGTATGGTGTCACACACCTATAGTCCCAGCTACTCGGGAAGCTGAGGTGGGAGAATCACCGGAGCTCAGGAAGTCAAGGCTGCAATGAACTGTGATCGCACCACTGCACTCCAATCTGAGCAATGAGAATGAGACCCTGTCTCCAAAAAAAAAAAAAAGAAAAAAAAAAAATTGGGGAAGAGAAGGTGGCAAGACAGATCAGCACCTGGCCCTCACCCAGGCCTGCTCAATACTTCCTTTGACAGCCGCCTTGAATGTTCCAGGTGGGACCTTGTTTCTAGGAGCGGCCACCATCAGAATAAAACAGAAAGAAGCGTGGAGTCCATTTCCTCTCCTAGGCCTTGAGCTAGAGAGTTGCCACTCCTTTTCCAAATGTTCAGCTAATTATACCTCCTTATCTGATTCTCTTTCAGTCTGGCTGAAGAGCCAATTCCACTAAGGGTAAAGTTCTTTTCTTGTTTCTTGCTTATTGGGGCACAGATGCTGGGGTAAGATACCGCTGAGGAATCTGAAAATCCTCATGGAGGTTGGTAGAAGCTGTGACTGAGCCAGACAGGCTGCCCCATCCAGTAGCTTCCCACGTTCCTTGGCAGAGTCATTGGAAGGGGAGGTGAGGGCCAGAGGTACGACCAGAGCCCAGCACCTGTGGGCAGCCAGATGACAGTAAAACTGGTTCTCCAACAGTAGGAAATAGCCCGTGCAGAAGAAAATCTGCAATCCCTCCAAGCTATTGCATTTTTCTTTGTAAGTGTTTATATATGTATAATGAACATTTAAAAATAACAAAAACAACTTTTAAAAAAAATCCCTCCTTCCCTCTAATTCTTTAACGGCCTTCACTTCCCTATGTCTAATGCTTTACTAAGTTGATAATCTGCTGGTTTCTCCTGCTGTTATACTATAAATGTTTTATCTACGTTATTAGATGTCATTTGATGGCCTTCGTGGTTGTCATTTAAGTAGCTGCCTATTTCACAGCGGATACCACACCACCCACTCCTGGCTCACTAGATACTCTAGCGGTTTGTGAGTGTTGGCTGTGCTGTGTTCCATGTCACTGTATTTGTGACCCCGTGAAAGACATGAGACTTGACCCAGGCCCCATAACTTGCTTCACTCAAAGCTGTGAAAGCAGTTCTCAGGGAACAGAGGGTTTCCATTCTCTATTGTGCGCAGATTTACCTACATTTGGGTTGTGGACACAGGCTGCGGGGAGGACTTGGGAAAGAATACATGCTTTATGTAAAAAGCGATGCATTTGCCCTTCCTTCCCATACTGGCTCTCCTGTCTAAGGGAACTTGAATCAGTGAGCCAGAAAGTAGCTGGGCAGCAAGGAGGGGACAAGAAGCCAAGCTGGATAACCGGCCCCCACGTGATCAGAAAGCTGTGTGACCCATTGCTAGATGTTTGGTTGGATGCAGGACACCAATGTTGGAGTCCCAGCTCTGTCCTGGCTGGCTGGGCCCCACCTCAACCTCTGCTGTGCAGCTTTTCCTTCTAGGAGAGGTAGACTAGGAAGTCCCTTCTATATATATATATATAAAACCGATGCTGCTTCTCATGCTGTGGTTCTCAAACTCGGGTGTGCATCAGAATCGCCTGGAGAGCTGCTTACAACACAGACTGCTGCCCCAGCCCCAGAGTCTCAGACTCAGTAGTTTGGGGATGGGGGCTGGACACGTGCATTTCTAATGCGTTCCCTGGTACTGCTGCTGGACTAATGAGTCTTTCTCACTGGTGACTTGGCAGGCTGCTACCTGCACAAAACTTCCCTGTTCTAAAGCCCACGTTCCTTTCTAGATGGAGCCAGCAGGAGAGAAAGATGAGCCATTGAGTGTAAAACACGGGAGGCCAATGAAGTGTCCCTCTCAGGTAGGAGGGACTGGGCAGAGGAGGGACTCTTATTGAATCGAGGGCGCAGGTGGGGTGGCCAAGTGGGCTTTGCTGTGAAGTGGGTCTTACCTGAGATGTGAATCCTGTTTCTGTTCTTCTGGGCCTGCACACAGTTTTGCATACATAGCAGCCCTAATGTTTACAGTTGTGGGCCATGAGAGCTGTTCTAGCAAAACTGCAGCCCCCTCCATGCCTGTGGAAGGCATAGGAACAAGGCCACAGCTCACCTGGCCCCAAATGCTGCCTCTGGGTCCTGGCCCTCTGCCCCAGATGCCATTTCCAGACCTTCCTCTACCTCAGAGTGGCAAAGAAGGGAGGGATGGTGAGTATCTAAGTACCTGAAAAGTGGATCATTTTGACTACATCTTAAATATGTGCCTAGTATGTAGTAGGCTTATAATTAATGTTTCCAAATAAGTGGATGAGAAAATAACTGGACATAAATGAATGAGATTCTTTCTTTTTTTTTTTTTTTTTTTTTTGAGACGGAGTCTCGCCCTGTTGCCAGGCTGGAGTGCAGTGGCACAATCTTGGCTCACTGCAACCTCTGCCTCCCGGGTTCAAGCGATTCTCCTGCCTCAGCCTCCCAAGTGGCTGGGACTACAGGCACGTGCCACCACACCCAGCTAATTTTTTTGTATTTTTAGTCTTTCTATCATTTAATGCTAGTCAAGTATTTGGCTTTCTTGATGAATTGGTAAGTTTTTTGTTACTATGCAATAATAAGTATACAATTCACCTTCTTGCACTTTTTGCTTTGGCTGCCAAGAAGCTTAAAATTAGATTCCCTTCTCATCAAAATATATATACTTAGCCTGGTAGCATGAACCCCCAGGGTAAAGAGCAAGAGAGACTGGCTATCACAAATGGGAAATGTCAACGCATTCATGAGTCCTTCAGGGACCAGAGAGAAGAGCCAGAGAATGGTTTGGTCCTCACTGGAAGCGTGATGTGAATGTTCCTAGTTGGCCAAAAGCATCACTGGATGCTGAAGCCTGATAATTAAGGGATACAGACTTCTAGGGTCACGATTCCAACATGTCACCTTTCCCTGCAGGAGAGCCCCTATCTGTTCAGCTACAGAAACAGCAACTACCTGACCAGACTGCAGAAACCCCAAGACAAGCTTGAGGTAAGGAAAGGTTTTCTGTAATTGACAAACATGCAGATGAACCAGGGGCTGTACTTCTTGCTGAATCTTTCGAACCTTCCACGTGGTTTTTTTTTTTTTTTCTTTTGAGATGGAGTCTCACTCTGTTGCCCAGGCTGGAGTTCAGTGGTGCCATCTCGGCTCACTGCCACCTCCACCTCCTGGGTTCAAGCAGTTCTCCTGCCTCAGCTTCCTGAGTAGCTGGGGCTACAGGCGCACACCACCATGCCTGGCTAATTTTTGTATTTTTTTTAGTGGAGACGGGGTTTCACCATGTTAGCCAGGCTGGTCTTGAAATCCTGACCTCAAGCAATCTGCCTGCCTCAGCCTCCCGAAGTGCTGGGATTACAGATGTGAGCCACGGCGCCCAGCCTGGATTATTTTAAAGCAGATCAACTGGCCAGATTTGCAACCTCAATACAATTTTTTTTTTTTTTTTTTGGTGGGAGGAGGGCGGGGACAGAATCTCGCTATGTCATCCAGGCTGGAGTGCAATGGTGTGATCTCAGCTCACTGTAACCTTAGCCTCCTGGGTTCAAGCGATTCTCCTGCCTCAGCCTCCTGAGTAGCTGGGATTATAGGCGCGCAACACCACACCCGGCTATTTTTTTGTATTTTTAGTAGAGACAGGGTTTCACCATGTTGGCCAGGCTGGTCTCGAACTCCTGACCTCATGGTCCACCCAACTCAGCCTCCCAAAGTGCTGAGGTGACAGATGTGAGCCACTACGCCCAGCCATTCCATGTGGTTCTTAACATCCTGGAACTCCCGCTGCCCCTAGGCATATGGAGGTCTGCTACTAACCGCTGATGTTCAGTCAGGACAGGCTGGGGGAGGGAGAAGGATCCAGCATGTGGCCATCCCCTGGGTGCCTGGAAGCAGGTCTCCCCCACAGTTCATCTTCCGAGCTGCCTCCGCAACCAGCATGGGAGGCTTGACAGAGTGTCTGCACTGCCCAGCACCTCCTGTTCCCAATCTGTTTTGATGTAAGACAGATTCTTCTGACCCTTCCCAAATCTCTGACAAATTCTTCTAAAATCATCTGAGAACTTCATCTGAAGAGAAAATTAAGAAAGAGCGGAGAATTGTGGTGAGGTCTGAACCCAGATTGTGTGGAGCTCGAAAGCCCTTGAGTGGGTCCACACTGGTAGGGGGCCCCTGACGGGCGCTCATGCCTTGCTCACTGCTTTTCTCAGGAGTCTCCCTGAGACTTCCCATGGAGATTAGGCAGGGCACCCTGCACTCCTCTGGGAAAGCAAGGAACACTCAAGGGTTGATGTCTTCTTTCCCAGAGAAGGGGGGACTGAGGTGAGCTGAGACAAATTTGGTCCTAGTGACATTCTTCCCTCCCTATTTTATGGAAAAGGGTGAGATTTGCTCCAAATAGTGGAGGCAGAGTTGATGGCCTGGGCTTCCACCCTGACAGACACAGTGTGAAAGACTCGATTTATCAACTTGACTCACACTAACCAGCATAGCAATGAGCATACACCTGAGACGCAGCATGGCACAGTGAGGTAAAGTAACCAGCTCTGGGTTCAGATGCAGACTCTTTCACTTATGGGCTCTGTGTCAATGAGCAAGATACTTAACCTCTCTGTGCCTTAGTTTTTTAACCTGGGAAATAATGACAGTAATAGTCGTACCTTGCGGAGTTATTAATGTCATAAGTCAGTAAGTATAAAGCACTTATAATAGAATCTAGCATACCATGAGTTCTATATAAGTATTGCTATCATTATCATTGGATAAATGCAGTGATACATTTCTTCAGGACACATTTATTGACTATCTGCTGTGTACCACTAGAATGCAAGCTCAGTGAGGCAGGAACTCAGGGTAGGCAGCAATAACTATTTGTTGAATGAAAAAATGAATGGATAGGTGGATGGATGGATACCAGGTATGAGAGATTAAAATGTAAATAAAAAATAGGACTTGTCCCAAGGAACTCAGTCTGGTAGAGAAATAGACAAGTCAACAGGCAATTATAGCACAATGGTACTATAATAGGTACTGTAATGCATGTTTTCATGGGGTATTCTGGGAACACAGAGGAAGAGAAACTAACCTAGACAGGAGAAAGTTGAAGAAGGCTTTCCAAAGGATACCCACGACCTCAGTCTTGAAGGGTGACTAAGGCTGAGGCAGATTGATGGGAGGGTGAGCAAATAGAAGAAAGGAAAGTGAAAGGGGAGAGGGTAACTACTTGGGCAAAGGCCTGGATGCAGGGAAATATGGAGACTTAGGTCAAGGGCTGGTGGTTTAGAATATTTAGAGGCCTCTTAGGCCATGCTAGGGAGATTGGACTTTTTGCTGAAGTTAATATGGTGTAGTAACTTATTTGTTCAACTAACAAATACTTGTTGAGCATCTGCTATGCCAGGCACTGTTCTAGGCTCTGGGGACACAATAACAAACAACATGGATAAAAATCCCTGCCTTCATTGAGAACTTGGGCAGAGGAGTGACACATCAGATCACGTTGAGAATGACCACTCTGGATAGATTCAGAGGGTGAGGAGCAAGTCTGTGGGGCAGACGGCCATGATGCTGGTGAATCATTGCAATATCCTGGCAAGAAATAACAAAGGCCTGAACTTAGGTGGAGGCAGAGGCACTGGAGCAGAGGGAACAGATTTGGGAGCACTTGGAAAAGATGTGGACAATTGGATATGAGTGTTGAAGGAGAGGGAGAAATCTTAAATGACATCAAAGTTTTACTTTATCTTAAATGATGTTTTCCAAAATAGAGGCCCCACTTCTCACCCATTTCCAGTTTAGAAAAATCCATTTTCCTTATTTCCCTGTGTGTCTCATTTCAGGTAAGAGAAGGAGCGGAAATCAGATGTCCTGACAAAGACCCCTCCGATACGGTTCCCACCTCAGGTACACAGCTTGCACCCAGTGATTTTAAAATTCATTCGAGGCCTGAAATCATCCAAGTAAGGGCTTTCCACATAACCTGAAATACTCCCGAGTGGTTTCTCAGGGACAACAGAAATAACTCTGTATGTATATTTGTAAAGCCATGGCTGTGTTTGACTATTCTTTAACTAAAATGTGATATCATTATCAGAAAGCATTTATTGAGCAGTAACCCTGTACCAGGCCATGTTCTGCAAAGAACCCAATGTTAGTTGTGTGAGTTGTCATCGTCCCTGCCTTGACGCCTTGATGGGTGGATTTGTTCTCCAAAAGAGCAAAACTACCTTTAAGCAGAAAGCAAAAATAGCCAGTCCATAGTCCCTGTCTGAGTTGCCTGCAGATTCACTCACACACAGAATGCACTAAAACACCACGCAGAGCAGGAAAGCACGTCATCTTATGAACGCGCCATCTTCACTGCCTCTCAGTATTTCTAAAATGTCTGTTGCTGGGCCATAAAATGGGGTGTTCTAGGCAGTCATCAGCAACCTTCCCAAAGACGGTCTGCCTGAGGGCTGTACCTTTGCCTCCAGGCAAGGTAGCCTGGGTGTGATAGCTATGGGCATGTAACCTTGGGAAGTCATGGCCATCTGGTGACCTGAGTGACTCAAAACATCAGCCTAGGAGCATCTGTAGCAGTGTTATAGATTCCCATGCTTGGTCCTAAAGGGGGGGGACTCACGTGTCCATTTATTTGTTCGTTTATTTACTCATTTGTGTGTTAGAGGATTGTTGAGTGCCTCCTTGCCTTCAGGAGTTTACATTCTAATGAATCTATTGTTTCTCATGGCCTCAGGATTATAAAAAACAGAAAATTAAGTTTGGGGATGTCACAGTGCCTAGCAAGAATCTTCTGGGGATGCAAATCTTTGTAGTCAGATTGTCTCCTTGTGCTGAGCATCAGGAGAGCAAATAAATGCTTGGCTGCCCTTCACACATGCCGTAGCTCTCCACACTCCAACTAAGACACATGGCTGGCAGGAAAGTTAAAAATATTCTAACCAAAACCTCGGTATATAACTGACTCTTGTTCTAAGTTGTAGAAGGATGGAATAGGGGATGTAGATCTTACATATACACATTTAGTCTTTATTTCCCCTCATACATGGTGCCAACTCATTCCTATTAGTTAACTAGCAGGACTTTATTAGCAGAAATAAATCATCAGCTTCATATGTAGACCCTCCTATAATAAATACCCTTACTCAAAAATAGATAGATTAGGTATAGATACAGATAGATAGATGTGTGTTTATATAGATAGATGTGTGTATATATATGTCTATATAGAGAGAGAGAGAGAAATTTTTTTTTTGAAACACGGTCTTACTCTGTTGCCCAGGCTGGAGTACAGTGGCATGATTGTGGCTCACTGCAGCCTCAACCTCCTGGGCTCAAGTGATCCTCCTGCCTCAGCCTCCAAGTAGCTAGGACTACAGGCATTATCACCACACCTGCCTTTTTTTTTTTTTTTTTTTTTTTTTTTTTAAGAGATGGGGTCTTATTGTTGCCCAGGCTGGTCTTGAACTCCCAGGCTCAGGCGATCCTCCAGCGCTGGGATTACAGGCATAAACCAGCTCACCTGGTCTAGAGAGAACATCTGAAAGTTTTAATAGCCACACACATTTACAGCAAAGTAATATCCATTCCCTTTTTAATCTTATTCTGAAAGAATGCTCTCTAAAGCATTTTATAATCTGTCTAGATGATGTTTCTGTCATGAAAGTGATAACCAGCCAATCTCATTAGAGCATATCTCAACATCTAAAAGCTGGGTAAAATGTAAACCTCTTCCTTATTCCTTGACCCTGAAGATTAGTGTGTTTATCAGTACTTGAAGATTAAAGATCAAGAAATCTCAAGGCCTTAAAATCTGAGATCCTCTGGTGACAGGAGCCATTTATATAATAACAAGATGGGTAGATTTAGGCTCCTCGATCTGACCAAGGTGAGCATGGGACCCAAACACTCGCTCTCCACCTGGAATCAGCACTCATAGATGAGTGTTGGGCCTGCACTTCTGAGTCTCACCTGGAAAGTGTCATTCAGAAAAATGGTCACAGTTAACTGGCCAATAATGAAAAATACATTTCATTATTGTGCCAGTGATCTTTTTTTTTTTTTTTTTTGAGACAGAGTTTTGCTCTGTCACCCAGGCTGGAGTGAAGTGGCGTGATTTCCGCTTACTGCAACCTCCACCCCCTGGGTTCAAGCGATTCTCCTGCCTCAGCCTCCCAAGTAGCTGGGATTATAGGTGCCTGCCGCCATGCCCAGCTAATTTTTGTATTTTTTGTAGAGACAGGGTTTCGCCATGTTGGCCAGGCTGGTCTTGAACTCCTGACCTCAGGTGATCCACCCGCCGTGGCCTCCCAAAGTGCTGGGATTACAGGCATGAGCTACTGCACCCAGCCATGTGCCAGTGATCTTGACTGAACATTCTAACTATCCTTGTGACTGATGGGGTAGGTAAAAAGACAGCACAGGTGCATATTATTATTTTCCTTTGATATTAATCATATATTTCTGGTGAGGTCATACACTCTTCTGGAGATCATGTTTGCAATTTCTAATCAAAATAATCTGATATATGTCTTATAAGAGGAGATCATCTTATCTTTATACCTCCAGTGACTCAAGCACATGGTAGAAGCCCAATAAATATTTGCTGAACTAATCTGAATGAGCATTTCTAAATCATCAGATGAACAATCCCTAGGATTGAAAAAGGTATTGAAAAATCAACTAGACCAAAATGCCTTTCATTAAAAGAATTTTTCACTAGGAATATCTTTTACAATAACTGTTTTGCATTTTGCCTTCAAAGTTACTTTCCTTTTTTTTTTTTTTTTTTCTTTTTTGAGATGGTCTCAGTCTGTCGCCCAGGCTGGAGTGTAGTGGTGCGATCTCACCTCACTGCAGCCTTGATCTCCCTGGCTCGAGATCCTCCCACTTTAGCCTCCCAAGTAGCTGGGACTATAGGCCCATGCACCATGTCCAGCTAATTTTATTTTTTGTACAGACAAGGTCTCACTATGTTGCCCGGGCTGGCCTTGAACTCCTGGGCTCAAATGATCCTCCTACCTCAGCCTCCCATAGTGCTGGGATTATAGGCATAAGCTACCATACTGGTCCAAAGTTATTTTCAAAAACCTTCTTTATAGTCTCATTTTCTAGTGCTTCTCCAAACTGACCACAGATACATGCATCTAAACATCATTAAAAGTGATGTTTCAAAATGAGATGCAACCTGTCATCAACAGGCCATGGCCCTGGCAACTTGGGTGCCTCATTCTGAGTACACTTCAGAGCTCGTGAGTGATGTGCTTTATCCACTGACTTACGGGGCCCTAGGATGAGATACATAGAGTTAATGTAAGTGATTTTTTATAATCAGTTGGTATTGGGTAGCCAGTAAAAACTAAAAACTTGCAACTTTTTCCTCCTAGTCAGCACATAGATGCAATTTGCCAAGTGCTCTCTCCTATGGACTTTATAACTTTGTAAACACTCATATCATGCTCCATTGCTAGACGGCCCTCTCCCTAACATAGTTAGCATAACCAAGAAAAACATATTGGGCCTACTAGTGAGCTTAGGATTTTCCCAGCGAGAAAAGGAGTCACTTTTTGAAAATAAAAGAGTGACAATGAGGAGTCACAGGGGACATGGCTTATTGACTTTCTGATGAAGGTGGCTATGTTGATGGCAAATTCCACACAGTGGGAAAAATTCAGAGCTTTTGCAAATAGGGATCCACAAAGCTAATTACATGCTGCTGTCACCAATAGTATAAACCAGAACAGTTCATTCATTTATTTTAAGCCATCAATTCCTTGCTAAGTCCCTGATGTCATTGATTTGACCCATTTGGCTAAAATCAGCTCTTCAAAAGCCAATATGAAAAATGGCCGGGTTACAGCACTGGGTGGTCATTCACCACGGGCATCATCTCATCGTGAGCCAGCAGTGCAATGTTCAGTGTAGGTCATGAGGCCGTCTCTGTGGTCACCACCTACTCAGGGGTCTTGTGACTTGACCTACCCTATCATCAGGAAGGAATGATGCCCTGTGGGAAATAACAGCCTGCTTGTCCCTGGACACAACCAGGCTACTGAGCGAGTTCAAACTCCCCCAAGACACTTAGAGAAGTGTTTCCCTGCCCTTTGGTTTTCATCATCTAAAACTTCGAGATCTGTAAAGTCCCTGTCACAGAGTCACTTAGCCTTTAATTCCAGTTAACACGTTTCTTGAGCTCCTCTGTGGAAGGCACGCATTGGTTCATGGAAACTCACACCGAAGACTCCAAAGGCAAAACATCGTTCCAATCTTGAGGCAGCTGCTTACTGCCATTGTGGAAGTCTTAATGTAAGTCCCTAAAATCAGACGGCAAATAGGTTGGGCAATGCTTGGTGACAATTGAGAGAAAGCATGTTTTTCAGATTAGGGCCCCAGGTGGTTTAAGTTGCTGGGTTACACAAGACAAAGCCCTAGCATGCCAAGCCTTTCTCCTGGGTATAACCTTCCATGTACAGTGGGCAGTGTCCCCATTCTACAGTCTAGTGTGCAATTTCCTTGCTATTTGTGATGCTTCGTCATGGCTTGGATGGCCTTCTGATAAGAGGTCCCCTCTGTAGAAATCGTGATGAGTTAATGATGTGTTTATCAGCTTCTCTCAAGGTGGTGGACAATTTGTACCAGATAATGTTTAGCTAATCAGCCCACACAAATTTAATCTTATCACTAAATAGTTCTTTTTCCAGGGAGAGCAACTGCTAAAGTGCTTTACTGTATTTCTAAGCTGTGTGTGTCATTAATGATGACATTAACAAACCTCAAATCAAGGTCTACGGAAAATTAGGCCAGTGAAATGTGATGTGCTCTATCTTAACAATAAGATCACAGATGAAGTCAACTCCTCCCACCCAGGTTTGCTTCATCTGGTTTATTACTGTATCTCTTGCTGAGATTCCTTCAGAATGGCCAACTGGAGAACCACCCCCACCATAATCAACCAATCTATCAGATGACGTCAGGCACTTTCAGGGCGGTATGGCCATAGACCAATCAGTCTATCTATACATATGTATGTACACACAGACATAAACATAGGGGGGTGTGTGTGTCTCTGTGTGTGTGTGTGTGTGTGTGTGTCTATGTGTTTTCTGCCTGCTACAAATTTAGGAGACAGGAATGGTAGGTTTCAGCTGCCTCTTTAGCAAACTGTAATGATAATATTTTTGAAGCAAATTTATCTATCTCTGCCATATTTTACCCAGTCCCAAGGATTTCCCCTAACATTTGCATACGAGCTAGTGTTCACAGGATTCACTGTATGATGCATTATGGCAGTAAGAATACAGTGTTTGACTGTTATCACCAGAAGCTAAAATAAACCACTCTAGAGTTGGAGGGAAAAGGTCTTATTTTTTGTTTTGTTGCCTTTTTAACCCCATTGCGTGATTTCTTTGAGAAGAGGTCATTTTAAAGTTCTCCTGCACAGCCTGATGGACACGCGCTAATGTGTGCAGCTGGCTTTGTGATTTGCTATTGTTCTTCTAACCACATGGTGTAGCTGTGGATGGCTGGGAAGAGCCAAGCAGGCTGTAATCATGTGGAAGGGTGCATGTGTGCATGGTGCATATGTGCATGGTGCATGTGTTCATGGTGTGTGTGTATGTGTGTGTGTGTGTGTAAGGGTGGATTCAAGGCATGGCGGTGGGGAGGAGAAAGAACACTGAAGAAGGATAGTCAGCAGCTCTTGAATCTAAGAGGCAGAGTTGTCATCAGGCTGTGCAGTGGCAGCTACAGTTGTGAGGGCCACAAGACAATTTATACATACACACAGGAGAAACAACTCTAGTCTTTTTTTTCTTTTTTATTGAAGGAGTCTCACTATATTGCCCAGGCTGGTCTCGAACTTCTGGGCTCAAGTGATCCTCCCAACTTGGCCTCCCTAAGTGCTGGGATTATAGGCATGAGCCATCACACGCAGCCAAATATTTATTTAATTTTTTACAGACAGTCTCACTTTGTTGCCCAGGCTGGAGTGCAGTGGTGCAATCATAGCTCACTGCAGCCTCTGCCTCCTGGGCTTGATTCCAGGTTTTTCAGGTCCAAGCGCAGTACTTGACTGCAGTCAATGGCTTTGATAATCGAGTGTCTCTATCAGTGGTTCTGAAAATGTGGTACCCAGACTGGACTGGCAGCATCAGCATTACCTGGAAACTTGTTGGAAATGCAAATCCTTGGGCCCACCCCAGACCTATTGAGTCAAAAATTCTGAAGGTGGGGCCCAGCCATCTGTGTTTTCACAGGCTCTCCAGGTGATTCCGATGCAGGCTCAATTGGAGGACCGCTGCTCTATATGTTTTGCACACATATATTTACAACTATGTATGTGTGAGTTTGTATCCTTTCATAGGAAGAGGCAAGAACTTTTACTTTTCCAATGAGAGCAAATCCTCATTGGGAGTGGCTCTCCCCATTGCAGACAGCATGAAAGAAGGTAGACAAGATGTCTCCATGAAAGGAGACGAGACCTTGGAGACCTGGAAGTCCCTTGAGTATGTTTTCCACTCAATGTTAATCCGGCTTCCTGCACAGGTACAATTCCACAGCCATGATTTGGATGTTGATGGGTGCTGTGGGTTGTATATAGTCCAGCTGTGTCAAAATCATCTCACCCTGTGTTTCACTGCAGGCCTGAAAGCTTTTTTTTTTTTTTTTTTTTTTTTTTTTTGAGACGGAGTCTCGCTCTATCTCCCAGGCTGGATTGCAGTGGCGCAATCTCGGCTCACTGCAGCCTCCTCCTCCCAGGTTCAAGCAATTCTCATGCCTCAGCCTCCCAAATAGCTGGGACTATAAGAGCACACCTCCATGCCTGGCTAATTTTTGTATTTTTAGTAGAGACGGGGTTTCATCATTTTGGACAGGCTGGTCTGAAACTCCTGACCTCAGGTGATCTGCCCGTGTCGGCCTCCCAAAGTGCTGGGATTGTAATCTGGTCACGCTACAGGCTTTATAAACTGTCTTTGGCAAAGAAGGCTGTTGAGAAAGCCTCCTGCAGACAACTTTCAGTTTATCCTTCTTAAGCACTTAACCACTGAAATGTACCAGGGTGGGCCACTCCTTGGTACAAACTCTGTACTAGGCTTCTTCCAAACCACAAGAGCTATTTCAATAATTTAGTGCAGCGTTGTGCCACTAGACACAATAGAAGCACATCGGCAAAGGTAGAGCTATGGCCAAGTCAGGGTGACCTTGGGGGTGAGGTAATTGGGGGAGTGGGAGGTGAGCTTGTGACTTGAGAGACCAAGCTATATATGGCTTAAGAAATTCTAGGGGTGGTCCCCCAAATACACTAGGATTCACTTTCTTATGTGTATAAGGTAAAGGGGTAGGTAGATGTAGTACCTGTGTGTGTATGTGAGTAATTACATATATAGCAATATCTATGTTAAACTCCTAACTTGTTAGCCAGGCATAAAAGCTTATAATCCCAGCTACTCAGGAGGCTGAGGTGGGAGGATCGCTTGAGCCCAGGAGGCCGAGGCTGCAGTGAGCCATGATCACACGCCACAGCCTAGGTGACAGAGTGAGACCTTGTCTCGAAAAATAAAAATAAAACGAATATATTGATAGATGCTACAACATAATTGAACCTTGAAAACATTATGCAAAGTAGAAGAAGCCAGACACAAAGAGTCACGTATTATATTATTCTATTTACATGAAATATCCAGAATAGATAAATCTATAGAGGCAGAAAGCAGATTACTGGTTACCAGATATTGGTTAGGCCCTGTGGCCCTAACCTACCTTTCCAAGGTGGTTTTCTCTTTGCTCTCTCATATATGCTTCATGCAAGCCAAACTGTGACTAGCTGGGCTTTCGAGACATCCAAGCTCGACCCTACCACATCCATCCATCACGCTTTTCCCTCCATCACCCGATCTCGCTCTCCCTCATCCTCCTGTTATTCCTGAGGCTTAATTCAAATGCGACCTTCTCCATGAAGCCTGCTGTGACCCCCTCCTCAGGCCCCCCAGGGGAAGATCATCCCTCCAGCTCTATAGCTTCACATCACTTCACACCTCTTTTAGTGTTTATCGGTCTTACACTATAATAACTATGGCTATTTCTCATTTTCTCCTTAGCTTGTGAGCTTTTTGAGGGCATTCTCTGTTTCTGATCACTGTGTGGTCTCCAAAGCACCCAGCCACTGCTTCGTGTTCAACATGTTTGTCCTGTGAGTTAATAGCTGCCACATCACACGGAATGCTCAAACTCAAAAGATAAAAATATGTATAGTCAAGCTGTGGAAAACAGCTTGATGCTTCCTCAAAAAGATAAGCATAGGATTACCATATAATCCACCAATTCCACTCTCAGGTGTATACCAAAATAATTGAAAACAGGCATTCAAACAAACACTCGTACACAGATATTTATAGCAATACTAGTCACAATAGCCCAAAAGTGGAAATAACCCAAATGCCTATCGATGCATGAATGGATAAACAAAAGTATGGTATATCCATACAATGGAATATCATTCAACAATAAAAAGGAATGAAGTGGTTGGGCTCTGTAGCTCATGCCTGTAATCCCAGCATTTTGGGAGGCTGAGGTGGGAGCATCACTTGAGGCCAGGAGTTCGAGACCAGCCTGGCAACATAGGGAGGCTCTCTCTACAAAAAAATAAAAAATTGGCTGGGCATGGTGGTACACACCTATAATCCTAGCTACTCAGGAGGCTGAGGTGGGAGGATCACTTGAGCCCGGGAGGTCGAGGCTGCAGTGAGCCATTATCACGAGCCACTGCACTCCAGCCCAGGTGACACAGTGAGACTTTGTCTCAAAAGATAAAAATAAAATGAATGTATTGATACATGCTATAACAAATGAACCTTGAAAACATTATGCAAAATAGAAGAAGCCAAACATAAAAAGTCACATATTATATGATTCTATGTACATGAAATATCCAGAATAGATAAATCCATAGAGGCAGAAAGCAAGTTTTTGGTTACTAAGGACTGGGAGGAGGGAGAAATGGAGAGTGACCACTTAATGGGTTATAGGGTCTCATTTTGGGGTAATGAAAATGTTTCAAAGCTAGATAGAGGTGATAGTTGCACAACATTGTGAATAGACTAAATGCCACTGAACTGTTCACCTTTAAATGGTTAATTTTAGTTATATGAATTTCATCTCAATTAAAAAACAGTCGGCCGGGCGCGTTGGCTCTCGCCTGTAATCCCAGCACTTTGGGAGGCCAAGCCAAGTGGATCACAAGGTCAGGAGATCGAGACCATCCTGGCCAACATGGGGAAACCCTGTCTCTACTAAAAATACAAAAATTAGCCAGGTGTGGTGATGTGCACCTGTATTCCCAGCTACTCAGGAGGCTGAGGCAGGAGAACAGCTTGAACCTGGGAGGCGGAGGTTGTAGTGAGCCAAGATTGCACCACTGCACTCCAGCCTGGAGACAGAGCAAGACTCTGTCTCAAAAAAAAAAAAAAAAAAAGTCAGTGGCATAAAAGTATTCCTTTTTCACTTTAGAGAAACTGAACTGATTTTTATAGGATGATGTAATATTTTATCCCAAATATCAGATCCTAGAATAGATTAAGTATTGGTTGCATTTCCATGGCAATTTCTTCCCTCCTCCCAAATCACCTTGCCAAGGGCCTGCCACCACTCGCCTTGTAGCATCTGGTCCCACCAAATGCGAGCACAGCTCCCCACTTAAAGCAGGATCCACCTTTCAGCTTCCTGTTCCTGTGTCCAGGTGCCCCAGAGAGGAAGCCAGCACTCAGACTCCACAGCTGGCATTGCAGAGCCCATTGACAAGGATGGGTTTTTCCTATCTTTTATCCAAGGTGTCTTGGTGGTAAAAACTGACTTTTTCTTTGTTATCCTGGAAGTTGTTCCTTTGTTTCAGAGTAGATGGGTCCAGTGCTTTCCTGGAAGCCCCATTTTCCACTCACTCCTGCTTATATTCTTAGTTCATAGGCTGAAGCCGGCTGACATCAACGTAATTGGAGCCCTGGGTGACTCTCTCACGGTAAGTGACCCTGATGCAGAAGGGGCAGGAGGGGAAAAGATTTTGACTAATATGAGAACCTGGAGAGGAAAATGGAGAGAGAAGGTCTCACGCCTGGCTCTTAGATGCTACCATCTCGGGTCCTGATCTCCATCTCTCCATTGTCCGACCCACCCTGGCATTCAACAGCATTCCCTTCCCATCATGGTTTCCCACCTCCATTCTGGTCTCATCTTCCTCCCCCAATGCTGAGATGAAGGAGAGAGCAGGAAGTGGAGGGACCCCAGAGGGAGTGTGGGTGACAGGAGTGACCCACCCCAAGTCACACAGCTGGTCAGCGGTGGGGCAGGATTGGACAAGATCTCCAGACCATGGTGTAGAACTCCTCCAAGGATCCAGTGCTTTGTTTTGTCCATGTAGAAAAGCTAAGGGAAGGTACCAGGAAGAGAGGTGAAGAGATGATGAGACAGGGCAAGTGCTAATGGGGGCAGGGAGGTGGGGGAGGGTGGGAAGACGGGAGTCTGTGGAAGAGGCAGATAGGCCAGAGATGTTCCAAACCCACTTCTGCATCTGCCCCCGGGTGACATCCCAGACCCTGCAAAGCACTATCCATGAAAAGCAGAATCAGGCCCTTGAGAGCCTGGGGGCTGGGAGTCCCAGAGGTTCCTAGACACAGCTTCCATTCAACAGCCTCTCATCAGAGTCCAGCTGCTATTCTCTGGGCCAGTAGAATACAGGGTCTCCAGCTGAATCCTCCCCAAGAACAAGCAGACACCTCTCATGTCTATGGTCTATCACAATGATATCATCCACTCAGTGGGATGTATCTTCATGACAAAATCCTGTGAGGCATGACTTTCTTTAGATTCAACCAATAAAGGCTGGGCCCAGTGGCTCACATCTATAATCTCAGCACTTTAGAAGGCCAGGGTGGGAGGATCACTTGAGGCCAGGGGGTCAAGGTGAGCCTGGGCAATGTAGCAAGACCCAATCTCTACAAAAAAGAAAAGAAAAAAAATTAAGCATGGTGACACATGCCTATAGTCCCAGCTACTTGAAAGGCTGGGGCTGGAAGATCACTTGAGCTCAGGATTTCGAGGCTGCAATGAGCCACAATGGTGCAACTGCACTCCAGGCTGGACAACAGAGCAAGGCCCTGTCTCTAAATCAATAAGAAGGTGAATGAAGCTGGGCAAGGTGAAGTGCCTAAGGTCACACAGCTTGTAAGTGCTCGAGCCAGGATCACAAATCAGGGATCCTGACCCTAAGTCCAGGGCCCTATCCCTATGCTGTGGCAGCCTCCTCCGTGGCCCCTCAGCCACTCTTTACCCCAAAGACCTGACTGCTCATAACCTCCCAGGAAGGACTGGCAGGCTGGGCCTTAGCAGCTTCATACACTGCTTATCCCAACCTCTTCCTGCCCGGCGGGGCCTGACATCACCTGCTCCCAATTCCCTGGTCTCCTTGAAGATACTCTCAGGACAAGGGGTCATCACATCTCGGCACAGCTGCTCAGGGGTTCCTAGGGAGGCAGCACTTTGGGTGTGAACCTGCCTGGCAGGTAGCAAAGGAACTGGGCACCAGAGAGCAGGGATCACACCTGGGGGGCCTCTCATGGAGGCCAGCCTTCACCCCCAACTGCCTGGGAGGCCAGTCTCAGCATGCCCTTCAAAATGCTCAGAAGCAAAGTGCTTTAGGCAAGGGACACGCACCTGGAGAGTGTCCACATTGTGCTTTCTTCAGCTGATGACGGCTACGTGGGATTTCATTTTATTACTACATTTTAAACTGCATAGGTGAGATATATTGGTATAAAAGGATAATGATGTATTTCCTTTTATGATATACTTCACAACTTTAAAAAAATGAGAAAAACAGGACCCTGAAATGTATCCTTTTGAAAAGGTACAGTCTAATTTCAAGAGCACTTTTGCTGGACGAGTTTTACTTGGTCTTGGCCTAGGCAGGGTTTCTTAGAATGAAGCAGAGCTGGGAGTAGCACCAGGCATTCCCAGTGGGCACTCTCACTCATCTCTGAAAAGGCAGGATACATATGGAGACATGGTGCCATCTAGACCCTAGATCCCAGAGAGTGCCCAGGTGGTCCTGGCCAGCATAAGAACATAGACCTTTTGGCAGGTAGGCAGAGGTGGGCCACTGGGGAAAGCAGAGAAACTCACCCCCTCATTGTTCCCTCTCAGGCAGGCAATGGGGCCGGGTCCACACCTGGGAACGTCTTGGACGTCTTGACTCAGTACCGAGGCCTGTCCTGGAGGTGAGTGAGGGTGTGGCAAGGCCCCAAAGGCCCCTTCATTGCAGAGCAAGGGAAGCCCCCTGAGTGTTCTAGAAAACAACGCCTTAAGCAGAAGGGTGGGCCATTTTGTTCTTTTCTATGACCAACTTCTAGGTTTAATTTGAAAAAGGTATTCACCAGCCTCCTCAAACCACTACATTGCCCAAAACAGTAGCTGAGCCTTGAGCCAGGAATCCAGGAGAGAAACTACATAAATGTTTGGGCTGGAAATGCTTCTCTGGCTTCCATTTCTCCCTCTGTGATATAATCTCAGAAGGAGGCAGTGGCCTGAGTGATGCACAGATCATTGCCTTTGGAACCAGAGTTGTAGCTGAGCCCTAGCTGCCCAGTTGGATGTAACCTTGGGCAAGTTCCCTAACCTCTCTGAGCTTCTCTCCTCATCTCTGATGCAGAAATAATGCTACTACCTGAGCACTGTCTGAGGGCTAGAAAGAATTTAGGTGTCCAGCACAGTGCTTGACACTAAGTATCTGGTAGTTGGCATTGTTATTATAGGGCCTTTATTTTGCAGATGAGGAAACAAGGCTCAGAGAGGGCAAGTAACCTGACCAAGATCACAGAGCCAGAAGATAAAAGATCAGGAAGCAGAGCAGATGCTTCCTGGCCCCCACCAGTGCATTCCCTTATCCTGTATCACTTTGGGCAGGCTTATTTCTGCTCTGTATGTGATCAAACCTCTGCTGCAAGCCCGGGCAGGTTTGGTGTTTCCTCACCTGGAATCTGGCATCTCTATCTGACACCTGCTTTAACCTGAGTGCCGAGTCTCTGGCATCCTTCCTCACGTTGCAACACAGTTAAACCCAAACATTTGGGGAACCTTTTAGATGCTCCTAGACACCCTTGGCACAGAATGGGGTGGGGGGGTGTGGAAAAGCAGGGAATCCAATCCACTCTGGAATGCTGCATATTTGCATGCCTAGAAACCCTTCTAACTTTGATCACCTTGGAATTTTATTATTGGCTTGGAAGATGGCTGACTCTCTAGAAGACACCTTTTAAAAACGGCTTTTCCAAGCCAAGCAGGAAGAGAAGAGAGAAAAAAATAGGGCCAATAATATTAATGCACGCTGCAGTGGCTAGTTGGAAAGGGGCTGGCAGACGAGGGACTACTTCCCCTTTGAAAGCAGGGGTGCAAGGAACCAACCTACCTCCCCTTCCCCAACATCAGCGAAAATCAGCCGCTGGTTTAAAGCTGGCGTTTTGTTTGGATGTGCTGGCCTATGGGGAGGGGAGTCGTATTCTGGTTTGCTTTTTCCGTTTTTCTACTGAAGTGATGGGGAAAGTGCAAGCTCCAGGCCCCCGGGCTGTTTCTCGGGAGACGGGCGTTTCTGGCTAGTGTCTGAAGGGTCTCGGCGTGGCTGGGATTTTAACCCTTCATTTTCTTTCTTGGACCCACGTTACAGCGTCGGCGGAGATGAGAACATCGGCACCGTTACCACCCTGGCGAGTGAGTACGCGGCGGCGGCCGGGATGTTTGGTTTGGGGCGGCCCCTGCACGCTTCCCGCTCCCCCTGCAGGTGGCGCGGGCCTCGGGAGGAGCCCCGGCTGCAGGAGCCCGCTAAATTCACCAGGGGGCGCTGCCTCCCGAGACTGCCGCCCAGCTCCGCTTCCGACAGTGACGAAAGCCTTAGAGTTGGGGGTGGAACGAGGTTCGGGGCTTGGGGGCCGGGGGCGGGGAGGTGTCAAAAAGAAATTGTGTTTGACCAAAGGAGGAAGAAAGTAAAGCGGGGAAAAAGATCACCTCTTAGGGCAAGTCATTAAAAAGTGATTCAATAATCTGGCATGAGATTAGAGAGAATAAAGAAAAGTGATTCAAGAAAAAAGAAAAAGAAACCCGGTTGTGCGGCGCCTGCCTTTCCCAGCAGATCACCCCCGCGAGAGGCATCGATCCAGGCACCTGGGGCGCAGGCACAGCTGCGCACAGATATTGAATTGCGGGGTTGCTGTAGGAACCGCTGCTATTGCCGCAGGAGGAGATGAAGTTATCTTGTGCAGGCTGTGCAGACACAGCCATTTTGGGACTCAGCACTTTCCTTAATTTACTTTCCATCAACCTGCTCGGAATGATTTCTTTCTCTTTTTTTTTTTTTTTTTTTTTGAGATGGAGTCTCACTCTGTTGCCAGGCTGGAGTGCAGAGTGGCGCCATCTCAGCTCATTGCAACCTCCGCCTCCCTGGTTCAAGCGATTCTCCTGCCTCAGCCTCCCGAGTAGCTGGGACTACAGGCCCCCGCCACCACACCCAGCTAATTTTTGTATTTTTAATAGAGACAGGGTTTCACCATGTTGGCCAGGATGGTCTCGATTTCCTGACTTCGTGATCTGCCCGCCTTGGCCTCCCAAAGTGCTGGGATTACAGGCGGAATGATTTTTTAAAGTCTGATTATATTCCTTGAAGGGTCTGATCTTATCTTTTTAAAATTCTCGCCAGTGCGTACACATCTCCCTGCTTGTTCTTAAAGTATGCAAGCGATACATATTTAAATTGAATTCTTCCCCTGGAATCTTCTGGCTGATAATTTTGCCTGGGAGGAATTTAACTGGTCCCATTTTCATTTACTTTCCTGGTACATAGCCCTTTGTAATATATATTTAGAAGCTAACAACTTGAAGCCACCAAGATTTGGATGAGGGGGACATCATAGCTTAATCTCCACATAGGCAGAGCAGAGCTGAGCAGACTTCACTTTATCTGTTTTGGTTATTTGTAAATCCTGTCGAATTTAGGTAGACAGGGTTCTGTGCCACAAGCACTCCCTGCCTTCTTTATATCTAGGTCTACACACATGAGCTATAAATCAGTTCCTCTATTGCTAGGAGATGGTTCAGGGTGCTTTTGTGAGTGTGATGAACTTGGCTGTGGGATGGCCCAATGTATGCAATAGCTTTCTGGGCTCTTTACTTCCCATGCTCGTATTATGGACAAGATAATTGGATAATATTTGGCTTCACCTCTTTCACCAAAGTAATTTACAAAGGATTGAGACAATGTTACCCCACAGGTGGATGACTCCCCTGACACACTTAGCCCAGAAATGGATTATCCGCTATTTAGACTCTTCTTGCTAGAGATGTGAAGACTATTTGATTATAGGGGCTAGATAATCCAGGGGGAAGTAACTATATGGAAACGTGTTAGAAAACTCATAAGAATGTAAGGGCAGAACAGAATCCCCGTTCAACCCCCTGTTCAATTTAATCCAGCAAATATTCCAGTGCTGAGTGCTTGGAAAATAGGAGAACAGTGCTCCGATGACATCACCAAAGTGTCTTTGGCAGCATGTCTTCCTAAAGACAGACACATGACTAATATTTATAGATGTGTACAAAGCTTAGGGGAAAATAAACATAGAGGCTGTTAACCCTGTCTTCTGAAAAGGAGCGTCAAGAATTAGAATTCGTCAGGTAAGGAAAGGGGAGAGAATGTTCCTGGCAGAGAGAACTGCCTGCACCAGCAAGTCGTTGCCCTATCCAATGTGTGGTTCCTCCCTATGATATTCTTGCTAAGTAGCTGGGTAGACTGTGCTGAGTTCCTTCTACCTCCTAGGGAAGCTGCCACCTCCTAGGACAAACCATTCCACTTTCAAATCGCTCAGGTGATTTCACAGTCCTTTTTTCTCTTGAATAGAAATCGGAGCAATTTCCATTTATTAGTGTAATATCCCCAAACCTCAAGGAATGAGTCCAGTCCATCTGTGCTGAGTAAACCTGCAGCAGTGCTGGGTTCTAGCAGGCACTCTGCTGAATGGGGCCCTAAAGTCCTGGCTGCTACCCGGCCAGTTTCTTTCTCACATCCTAGCAGATTGTGAGACAGCGGGGGCAAGTGTCCTTGTGTTGGAGCTGAGATACTAGCCATTCTCAGCACCTACATGTCTTTGAACAAATCTCCAAGCTTGTCTGAACTTTGTTTTATTTCTAATTCAGTCCATAATCATGTATTGAGCATTATATGAGGCCCTGGGGTATATATAGACCCTGCTCTCAGGATGGCTCAGCCAAGTTGGAAAGATGAAAAAGTGAAAAGTGTGGATCCATATTAGTAAAGGCAATTAGAATGCATGAGATTGCAAAGTTCAACAAAACTGACAAAACTTTAGACTGACAAAAGGGAGGGGAAATGAAAATCAAGAATGAAAGAGGAGATACTACCAACCTTACAGAAATAAAAAGGATTATTAGAGAATACCATGAACAAATTGTATGCCAATAAATCAGATAACTTGGATGAAATGGACAAATTCCTAGAAAGGCACAAACTACTGAAATTGAATCCATAAAAAGTAGAAAATCTGAGGCCAGGCGTGGTGGCTCACGCCTGTAATCCCAGCACTTTGGGAGGCCGAGGCAGGCGGATCACGAGGTCCAGGAGATCGAGACCATCCTAGCTAACACGGTGAAACCCCGTCTCTACTAAAAATATAAAAAAATAGCTAGGTGTGGTGGTGGGCGCCTGTAGTCCCAGCTACTTGGGAGGCTGAGGCAGGAGAATGGCATGAACCCTGGAGGCAGAGCTTGCAGTGAGCCGAGATCACGCCATTGCACTCCAGCCTGGGCAACAGAGCGAGACTCCATCTCAAAAAAAAAAAAAAGAAAGAAAAAAGAAAATCTGAATAGATTTATAACAAGCAAAGAGATTGAATTAATAATTTTAAAACTTCCCACCAAAAAAAGCCCAGACTGTCTCTGACTTCGCTGGTGAATTCTATCAAACATTAGTATCAATTACTAGTTCTTCACAAATTCCTCCCAAAAACAGAAGAGGAAGGAATGCTTCACAACTCATTCTATGAGTTTTACCCTGATAGCAAAATAAGACAAAGACATCACAAGGGAAGAAAAGTATGACCAGTAAGTATTATGAATGTAGACCCAGAAATCCTACACAAAATACTAGCAAACAAAATCCAGCAATATGAAAAAAAAAGTATACCTCATGACTAAGTGGAATTAGCCCAGGAATACAAGGTTAGTTTTCAACCTCAAAATCAATTAATGTAATATTCTATGTCAATAGGATAAAAGACCAAAACCACACATCATGATCATCTCAATGGATCAGAAAAAGCATTTAACAAAAATGTAACACCACTTAATGATAGAAACACTCAACAAAGGCCGGGCGCAGTGGCTCACGCCTGTACTACCAGCACTTTGGGAGGCCTAGGTAGGTGGATCGCTTGAAGTCAGGAGTTAGAGACTAGCCTGGCCAACATTGTGAAACCCTGTCTCCACTAAAAACACAAAAATTAGTTGGGTGTGGTGGCGGGTGCCTGTAATCCCAGCTGCATGGGAGGCTGAGGCATAAGAATAGCTTGAGCCTGGGAGGCAGAGGTTGCAGTGAGCTGATATTGCGCCACTTCACTCCAGCCTGAGTGACAGAGTAAGACTGTCTCTAAATAAATAAAGTAAAAAAATACTGAACAAATTAGGGATAGAAGGAAAATTCCTCATTCTGATAAAGGGTATCTTTTAAGAGCCCACAGCTGACACCATAGGCAATGGTGACAGATGGAATGCTGCCCCCTCTCTCTGATATCAGGAGTAAGACAAGGATGCATGCTCTTGCCACTTTTATTCAACATCACACTGCCCATGGCAGTTAGGCAAGAAAATGAAAGAACAAGTACCAAGATTGGAAATAAAGAAATAAAACCACTTCTATTTAAAGATGAGATGATATTATATAGAGACAATCCCAAGAAATCCACTAAAAATTATTAGAGCTAATGAGTTCAGTGATTGCAAGGTACAAATCAATATACAAAAATCAATTATAATTCTTTATACTAGCAATTAATATGAAAATGAAATTAATTCCATTTACAATAGCATCAAAAATAATGAATAAATTTAACCAAATTTAACCAAAAAAGGGCATCGCTTTTAAGATCACAAAACATTGCTGTAAGAAATTAAAGACCTAAATAAGTAGAAAAACATCTGACACTCATGGATTAGAAGATTTAATATTCTTCATAATACTCCCCACATCAATCTACGGATTCAATGTGATCCCTATCAAAATTCCAGCTAGCTCCTTTGCAGAAATTTGCAAGCTGACCCTAAAATTCATGTGGAAATTCAAGGGACCCAGAATATCCCAAGAAATCTAGAAAAGAACAAATTCAGAGGATTCATACTTACCAATTTCAAAAGTTACTATAAAGCTATAGTAATCAAGACGTGGTACTAGCATGAGGATAGACATATCGAACAGTGGACTAAGATTGAGAGTCAGAAATTAAACTCTCATATTCATGGTTAACTCATTTTCAGCAAGGATGCCAAAACCAATGGGGGAAAGAATCGTCTTTTCAATAAACTGTGCTGAGACAACTAGATAGTTACACACAGAAAAATGAGGTTGAACTCCTACCTCACACTTTATACAAAAATTCACTCAAAATGAATCATAGACCTAAATGTAAGAGCTAAAACTAACTCTAGGAAGAAAATACAGGAGCAAATCTTTATGATCTTGAGCTAAACAAAGTCTTCTTAGATATGCCACTAAGACAAGTGACAAAAGAAAAAAAAATCGATATTTTGCGCTTCAAAGGATGTCATATCATATATCAAAGAAAGTAAAGACAGCCCAAAGAGTGGAAGAAAACACTTGCCAATCCTATATCTAATAAGAAACTTACGTCTAGAAATTATAAAGAACTCTTAGAACTCAAAAAGATAACCCAGTTAAAATCGGGCAAAGGATCTGAATAGACATTTTTCCACAGAAGATATGCAAATGACTAGTAAGCACTTGAAAATATGCTCAACATCAGTAGCCATCAGTGGAAATCAAAACCACCATGAGATACCAAGTCACATCCACTAGCATGGTTATAATAGGAAGACATAATAAGTGTTGACAAGGATGTGGAAGAATTGAAGCCCTTGTAAACTGCTGGTGGGAATGTAAAAATGGTGCACCTGCTTTGGGAAAAGTCCTGGCAGTTCCTCAAAAGGTTAAACAGGGTGAGGGTTAGAGTTAAACAGAGTTTAACCTTTTCCACTCTTAGATACATATCCAAGGGAAATCCACACAAAAACTTGTACACAAATGTTCATAGCAGCATTTTTCATAATACCCAAAATGTGGAAGTAACTCCAAAGCCCCATCAACTGAAGAATGGATAAATAAAATGTGGTATATCCATCCAGTGGAATATCATTCAGCAATAAAAACGAATGCAGTACAGTTGCATGCTACAACATGGGTGAATGTTGAAAACCGTACGCTAAGGGAAAGAGGCCAGTCACAAAAGGTATGTTGGGGTATGTGATTTCATTCATATGAAATGGCCTGAATAAGCAAGACTACAGAGACAGAGTAGATCCACGATTGCCACAAGGTTGCAGGGAATGGGGAGTGACTGCTAGTGGGTACTAGGTTTCTTTCTGGGGTGATGAAAATATTCTAAAGTTGATTACGTGGTGATGATTGTACAACTGTGTGAATGTGCTAGAAGTTATTGAACTGTATACTTTCAATTGGTAAATTTTATGGTAAGTGAATTATATCTCAGTAAAGCTAGTATATAGTTAGAAAAAAAGAAAAATACATGAAAAAAGCCTGTAACCCAGACTCACATTTCTTCAACAATAATTGAAACATCTGTCGTGTGCTGCCCTGTCGTTAAGCGCCATCCTGCTGAACATTTTCTTCCCATGCTGAGTGAAGGTTGGGGTAAGAGTAGGGGCTGCGGAGTGGGGACTCTGTTCCCTAACACCCACTGGTGCTTATCAAAGGAATTTGAAGATTGCTTTGCAGTAGTCACTAAGCGTGTCTTTTCCTTGTATTTGCAGACATCCTCCGGGAATTCAACCCTTCCCTGAAGGGCTTCTCTGTTGGCACTGGGAAAGAAACCAGTCCTAATGCCTTCTTAAACCAGGCTGTGGCAGGAGGCCGAGCTGAGTAAGCAGGGGTGACCGGGGCGGTGAACAGCACAGGTCCTCTGAGGACCAGGGGTGGGCTTGGCCTAAACTGGGTTTATGGCTGAAGGTTGAAGGGCTTTGTCAGAGGAAAGGGTTTCGGGGCCAAAGCCTGGACAGAGCTCTCTTGGAGGTGTCACAGAAATCTGTGAGCCTACCCTAACACCCACCCCCAGAAACTAGTCACAATGGACTCTGATGCCAGGCATATGCTCTGAGCAGATTACTTTGCCTGTCTGTAAATCTCACTTAAGACATAGGTTATAAGCAGGCTCACTCTGCGTCCCAGTTGTCACTGCTATGTCACTGCTGTTTCAGAGTCCTGCTCTCCCTCCCTTCCTCAGCTGTGCCTTTTGGGCTTTAAACTCTGCATCCTTCCAGTGTCCTGGGAAGAGTACCAGCCCTGGGAGGGGAGGCCCTGAGTACGAGCCCGGTTTCCTCCCTGGCCTCTCTAAGCCTCAGACTCTACGAGGTGGGGCTGGTTAGGAACCTCTCCCACAGGGCAGTCATGAAGCTCAAATGCCATATTGGATACGAAAGTTCTGGTGAGCTGTAAATAGTGTACACGTGACACACGTTGGTCAAAATGGTGGTCCTGGCAGTAATGCAGCAAGGTGGCAGGCCCACCTCGGGGGAAACATCAGTGAGCACGGCCATCACTGTCATGGTCCCTGGGCACGGCCAGGCCGGTCCCCAAGAGTGGGCAGGTCAGCTTTCCTAGGTCCCATCCCTTCACTGCATTCCAAGATTCCAGGGCCTTGAGTGCTGCTTGAGGTTTGCTGCCTGGGCAGAGAGCAAGTGAATGCCATACCTAATCAAGGAAAAATAAAACTGGATGATCCTTTCTTTCTTATACTATTTGTATTTATTTTTAATTTTTATTTCAACACTTTTTGGGGTACAGGTAGTTTTTGGTTACATGAGTAAGTTGTTTAGTGGTGATTTCTGAGATTTTGGTGTACCTGTCACCTGAGCAGTGTACACTGTACTCAATATGTAATCTTTAATCCCTCACCCCCCCCACCCTTCCTCTCTGAGTCCCCAAAGTCCATTATATCATTCTTTTTTTTTTTTTTTTGAGACAGGGTCTTGCTCTGTTGCCCAGGCTGGAGTACAGTAGTGTGATCTCAGCTCACTGCAACCTCCACCTCCCAGGTTCAAGGGATTCTCCCATCTCAGCCTCCCAAGTAGCTGGGATCACAGGCACACATCACCATTCCCGGCTAATTTTTTTTTTTTTTTTTTTTTTTTTTTGGTAGAGACAGGGTTTCACCATGTTGGCCAGGCTGGTCTTGAACTCCTGACCTCAAGTAATCTGCCTGCCTGGGCCTCCCAAAGTGCTGGGATTACAGGCATGAGCCACCATGCCTGGCCCATTATATCATTCTTATGCCTTTGCGTCCTCATAGCTTTGCTCTCCCACTTATAAGTGAGAACATACAATATGTGATTTTCCATTCCTGAGTTACTTCACTTAGAATAATGGCTTCCAGCTCCATCCAAGTTGCTGCAAATGACATTATTTCATTCCTTTTTATGGCTGAGTAGTATTCCATGGTGTATATATACCACATTTTTTTATCCGCTTGTTGGTTGATGAGCACTTAGGTTGGTTCCATATCTTTGCAATTGCAAATTGTGCTGCAGTAAACATGCATGTGCATGTGTCTTTTTCATGTAATGACTTATTTTCCTTTGAGTAGATACCCAGAAGTGGGATGGCTGGATCGAATGGTGGTTCTACTTTCAGTCTTTAAGGAATCTCCACACTGTTTTCCATGGCGGTTGTACTAGTTTACATTCCCACCAGCAGTGTAAAAGTGTTCCCTTTCACCATATCCAGGCCAACACCTATTATTTTTTTGACTTTTTAATTATGGCTGTTCTTGCAGGAGTAAAGTGATATCTCATTGTTTTAATTTGCATTTCCCTGACACTTTTGTTTATGTTGAGCATTTTTTAATGTTTGTTGGCTGGTTGTATATCTTCTTTTTAGAATTGACCATTCATGTCTTTTGCCCACTTTTTGATGGGATTATTTGGATTTTTTAGATCCTATTTTTAATCACAAACATCACACTACCATGTGGTTCCTAGGACTCATGTGGTTTGGTTCCTAGATTTCCTGACATCCTTCCAGCTCTCAGCACCATCCTGAGACCATGAGCCACCTAAGTAGCTTTCTTATTCATTGCCAGTGGGAAAGGTGAAAGAGTATCCAAAGTAATGGCTAACACAGACCCCAATAGACTTTGTTTGTTTGTTTGAGACAGAGTCTCACTCTGTTGCCCAGGCTGGAGTGCAGTGGCGCGATCTCCACTCCCTGCAACCTCCGCCTCCCAGGTTCAAGCGATTCTCCTGCCTCACCCTCCTGAGTAGCTGGGACTATGAGTGCATTTTCTGTATTTTTAGTAGAGACAGCGTTTCACCGTGTTAGCCAGGTTGGTCTCGATCTCCTGACCTCATGATCTGCCCACCTCGGCCTCCCAAAGTGCTGGGATTACAGGTGTGAGCCACTGTGCCCAGCAGGCCCAATATGTTTTATGATGAATTCTGAGGCTTTCTTTTCCTTTTGATGGGGATAGGATTAAAAGGCTGCAGGTTTACTGCTTTAATAGTACCATAATCTTGCTTTTTCCAAGCATATGTGGGCTGGTAGTATAAGAGGAAAGACAGTTGTAAGCATGATTAGGTCAGGGAGGCATCCAAGAATGAAACCTTAGAGTCAAGAGTGTAAAAGTAACCAAAATGAGTGTGATTCATATGGCCCTGGGTTTCTATCCTTGCATTTCCAGAGGCCTTGGGGCTCTTTCATGCAAGCAATCCAAGCACATCCTGGGTGGCAGGGAAAAGTTGGGGGTTATTATTCCCGTATTACAATCGAAGAAACTATAGCACAAAGAGGCCACATGGCCTGAACAAATGCATCGACTTGACCACATAGTCCAGCCTTGTGCCCTGCAGGCTTTATTCCAGGTCTGACAATAGCTGTCATGCAGATACAGCAGTGCACCATTTACAAGGCACCCTCACGTTTATCATCCCTGTAGTCTGCACAATAACCATGAGATGAACAGAGCAAAACGTCAGACTCCCATGTTTTACCAATGATAAAACTGAGCTTCAGCCAGGCACAGTGGCTCACGTCTGTAATCCCAGCACTTTGGGAGGCCGAGGTGGGTGGATTACTTGAGGTCAGGAGTTCGAGATCAGTCTGGCCAACATGGTGAAATCCCGTCTCTACTAAAAATACAACAATTAGCCGGGTGTGGTGGCGGGTGCCTGTAATTCCAGTTATTTGGGAGGCTGAGGCACGAGAATTGCTTGAACCTGGGAGGTGGAGGTTGCAGTGAACTGAGATCACGCCATTGCACTACAACCTGGGCGATAGCACGAGACTCAGTCTCAAAAAAAAGAGTTTCAGAGTAGTTGAGTAATCATCCTCAAACTCTGTTCCATCGACAGAGCAGCTGCTCTGATAACTTCAGATTTACAGATGAGGAAATCAAGCCTCAAAAAGGTTAAGTGACTTACCCGAAGTTCCCATCCAGGTAATCGAATACCTAGTGTACTATGACTCACATCAGGCCAGTAGGGCTAATAGATAAGAGGGGAAGAGGATGACCACTAATGTTTCCTGCTAAGCCCTGTGCCAGGGACTTTGTCAATGATGATGGTGGTAATGATGGCAGAAATAATTCAGTGGTTGCATACTACGTGCCAAGCACTGTTGTAAGTTCTTTATATGGCACCTCATTTAATTTCCCCAACAACTCTGTGAAGAAGGTATGTTACCATGCTCATTTCCCAAAGGGAAAAACTGAGGATTTGCAGGATCAAGTAGTCGGCCAAGGTCTCAGAGCTGGTCATTTGTGGAACCAGGATTCAAACCCTGGCTGTCTGGCACCAGCAGTGGTTCCCATCTACTGGTCCCAGTGACCCTCCAAGATCAGTGATCTTGTCTCCATTTTGTAGTCTTTTTGAACTGAGAATTTAAGTCACTTTCACACTGTTAGCAAAAGGCACCTAAGTGTCCAACCCAGGTGCATTTTACTAGACTACATCATCTTAAGGGTAGGAGGGCTTAGGCCATGGCACCTGCCAAAATGGGTGGTGCCATGACATGTGCATGATGTGAAATACTTACAGGCAAAACTTCTGTTTGCCCTGAACAAGCCTGGCTTGGAAGGAAAAGAAAAGTACACCATCAAATATGCCAATCAGAAAATAGTCACACCGGCCGGGCGCGGTGGCTCACGCCTGTAATCCCAGCATTTTGGGAGGCCGAGGCAGATGGATCGTGAGGTCAGGAGTTTGAGACCAGCCTGGCCAACATGGTGAAACCCCATCTCTACTAAAAATACAAAAATTAACTGGGTGTGGTGACACACAGCTATAATCTCAGCTACTTGGGAGGCTGAATCAGGAGAATTGCTTGAACCCAGGAGGCAGGGTTGCAGTAAGCTGAGATCGTGCCGCTGCACTTCAGCCTGGGTGACAGAGAAAGACTCCATCTCAGGGGAAACAAAAAGGAAAATAGTCACACTGAGAATCACCCCCTCCTACGTGCAGTGCTCTGGCCTTCCCAAGCACAGTCACCACCCCACACCCCCGCAGTGGAGCCTGAATGGGGAAGAAGCTCTGCGACACGGCCTTCAGTCCATTTTCCTGCAGGAGGCCCACCCTGGGCCTTCCTCCACCATACATTTGATTGCTGTTCTCTCTGCTAAGGGCCCCTGCCAGTCCCCACTCCTCACAGCACTTCCTCTGGTATGTTTCCACAGGGATCTACCTGTCCAGGCCAGGAGGCTGGTGGACCTGATGAAGAATGACACGGTGGGTCCCTGGGATGGGAAGTAGGCAGGAAAAATCCCTGGACACAGAGAAGATCAGCTGTGGATTGAGGGATGGTTGGGAGCCCGGCTTGGGTTTCTAGCAGACACATCTGAAGCCTAAAACACTGCTTCTCTGGAAAGGGGATTCCTATTTGTTCAGTCAGTTGGCTGTTGAAATTAAACATCTACTGTGAGTCAGGCATCAGGCTGGGGCTGCAGATGCACAAAAGAATACAACACAGTCCTGTCCTCAAGGAGCTTGGAAGCGGAGACCAATGTGAAGAATCAAATTATAAAACAGTTGCCACGTGCTCCACCGAAAGGGCTCTGTATAAGACACGGTGGGGTGCAGAAGGGACCGGCGCCTCTGCTTAGGACAGTCAGGGAAGGCTTGAAAAGGAGATTTTGGCTGTTATTCTGGGCACATGGCCTACGGGAGAGCCCTGGTCTGCAAGGAGCAGTACCAAAAAATAAAAGTAGAGGAGATGTTTGAGCCGGGTTCTGAAAGATGAATATGCAGCTCTCCCTCAAATGAAAGCACGGTCTCAATTCAGAGGCTTTTTGCAGGGGTTTCTAGGTGGGTAAAATAAAAAGGAAGATTAGGATGAGTTATGTTATATATAATTTAATGTACATCAAAGTCTATTATTGGGAGGTTCTCAGGGTATTTCTACCCTTAATGTCAAACTTTCCTGGATCTTGTTCTCACCTTCCTCCTTCCACGCTCTTTTGGAAGTGTAGATCAGGGAAGCAAAGCTATGTAGGCCTGGGGCAATATAAGAGGCTTGCAGGGCCGTGGCTGCCCTGGGGCCATAGTTTATGGAATGTGTATGGCTGCACCCTCTCCACACAGCCCTGTGACTTCATATGCTTTTCCAGGTCCTCTTTGGAGGAGACAGATCCCAGAGGTGGCAAAATCTTTTCAGAGCTTGTGCTTAGAGCTGCCACCTTACCCTACTCAGCCTCTCTGGCTTGACTAGTTCATGGGCAGAACTAGTCACCAGTGTGAGTATTCCAAATTTGGAGAGCTCCCTCTTAATGAAAGATGGTCTTTCTCCCTTAAGGCACAATTAGAATTCAGGATTTCTAGAAGATTCTGGAACAAACATTCCTTTCCCATGGCCAAAACCAGCTTCCTTATCCCTTCCCCACTTCCTTGCTATGCTGGAGATGGAGGAACAGAGCTCAGAGGGCATCTGTATCCACTCCCACCAGGACACGTGGAAACTGACGTGTGTGCTTTTGTGTGTGGACAGAGCCACATGCAAGTTCAGTGATTCCACCTAAAATAAATGAACCATTTAGCACCTATGATCTCAGGACCCTAAAAGCAAGGAACAGAAAATTCAGAAGTCCATGAGACACTCTGGTGTGTGAGGACCCATCTTTTCTAGTTTGCAAGCATTTTGTGTTTTCCTTGACTTGACTCTGGGACAAGGTGCTTACTTCTGTGTTTCTATTCATTTCAGAGGATACACTTTCAGGAAGACTGGAAGATAATAACCCTGTTTATAGGCGGCAATGACCTCTGTGATTTCTGCAATGATCTGGTAGGTCTCCAGGCACTTTACTCAAGACTCACCCCCAGAGAAGGATTTTCACAGCCCGGTCACTTGCTCTGCCCGGGAGGAGTACAGCTAAGTTGGGACTCAGGCTCATGGTTTGTCTTGGATCCAGCCTGGGATGAACCCTGAGACTGAGAAGGCATTCACCTCCAGGGAACCATTCAGCTGGGCAAGCAGGATTAGTTATAAGATTGATCCTGATTAAGTTTCCTATCAAGGGAGCTTGATCATATCATTCTAGAAAGCAAGATAACACCCAATGACTAGAAAAATCTTTCCCATGTTCACAGAGAGTCACAGGTTAGCTCCCTTCCCCAGTCTCCAGCAGCCTTGCCCTTTCCACCTTTGTGCTGTCACTTGTATGGGAAGGTCGATTTCCTGCAGGCATTTGGGCAAGCTTCAGAGCCAAGTCATTCTGGGCTGGTGGGAAACCCAAGATCAAGGCTGCTGCTCCATGGATGCTGCGTGTCCTCCTGGAACCTCAGTCTCTGAGCTGATAGAAGCCTGACAGGGCATACCCACTAGTCTCCCACCCACGCCTATGCCAGGAATGTACTAGGAGCAAGGCAGTGGTGAAGGAAACACAGGCCCTGTCCTCAGGAACTTGCACTGCCAGCGGAGAGAGAGACAGGCAGTTCATCACAGCACAAAGCAGACATCAGGATGTTGTTGTAGGGATACACACAGAAGAGAGGTCTAAAAGCAAAGTTGGCTGGGTGTGGTGGCTCACACCTGTAATCCCAGCACTTCGGGAGGCCGAGGCAGGCAGATTACCTGAGGTCAGGAGTTCAAGATCAGCCTGGCCAACATGGTGAAACCCTGTCTCTACAAAAATACAAAAATTAGCTGGTTGTGATGGCAAGTGCTTGTAGTCCCAGCTACTTGGGAGGCTGAGGCGGAAGAATCGCTTGAACCCAGGTGGCAGAGGTTGCAGTGAGCTGAGATCATGCCACTGCACTCCAGCCTGGGTGACAAAGCGAGACTCCATCTCAAAAAAAAAAAAAGCAAAGTTGCTGTGGGACCCTGGTGTGTGGGAAAGGGGGTTGTTGGAGAGATTTACACAGAGCAGGAGACTTTCCAGCTCAGGCTTGAAGATGAGGAGGTTTGTCAGACAGAAAGGGGACCAGCAGAGTGAGGTTTAGGAAGTAGTGGCCTTGCTCTGGCCTGTGAGCACCTACCTGGAGGGATGCCCCAGCCCCCAGGCCCCTCACAACCCACTTTCTTGGCATCAAAGTCACCAGGAGTCAGGAGTTTTCAAGCTGTGATCTGAAGGGCCCAGAGGGGAGCCTTGGGGCTGCTGGTAGCCCGTGGGGAGGTGGGACCCTGGGCCCCTCCCCTGCTCATGTTAAGTGACACAGCTTTCATATGTTCCATACAGCAGGGCTTTTGGTTAGATTTCAATCAGAGAAAGAGTTCCACTGCTGAGAAAGCTTTAAAACCGCAAATATCGAGATCAGGAGAAACAGTTAAAATGTGTTTAGGCTTGGTGTGGCCGGTGTTTCACAGGACGCTCTTCCCCTCTTCCCCTCCCATTATTGCCTTGATTTATGTAGGGTGTGCTTTCATACATGTAGGGTGTGCTCAGTAGCCCCAGACACTGAGGCTCCAAGAAAAAGAGATCGGGCCATAGGACAGAGGCTGCTCAGATTGCAGGAGATCTTAGAGTCATCTGCTCGGACATCCCCATGTTAGAGGGGCCTGGAGATGTGATGCTTTGGCTCTACAGTTAGTGGATATGGAGTAGATCCAGAGCTCCACGCAAAAAAATAAATAAATAAATAAATAAATAAATAAATAAATAAATAAATAAATAAAATTAAAAAAAGAGGCATAGGCATTTCCCTGAGGGCCACAGCCATGACAAACCTGAGGATCATGGGGCTGGTGTCCAGGCTGGGGCCCCAAAGACAAACACTATTTCAATATTGCCCACTGTGACTGAATACAGAAAGAAGGGGACTCTGGCCAGGTGCGGTGGCTCATACCTGTAATCCCAGCACTTTGGGAGGCTGAGGTGGATGGATCACTTGAGCCCAGGACCAGCCTGGGCAACATGGGGAAACCCCATCTCTACCAAAAAATACAAAAATTAGCCAGGTGTGGTGGCACGCACCCATGGTCCCAGTTACTTGGGAGGCTGAGGTGGGAGGATTGCTTGAGCCCAGGAGGTGAAGGTTGCAGTGAGCCATGATCACACCACTGCACTCCAGCCCGGGAGACAGAGTGAGATCCTATCTCAAAAAAAGAAAAAAAAAAAAGAAGGGGACCCAAGAGAGAAAGTAGCCCTGTTCTGTAGAGAGATTAGGTGACAAATGGTGTTCAAGGGACACTTCCTCTTCCTGCAGGTCCACTATTCTCCCCAGAACTTCACAGACAACATTGGAAAGGCCCTGGACATCCTCCATGCTGAGGTACGGAGGCTAGGCCATGAGGCCTGCATCTTAGACCTCAGACCTAGCCTAGAGGAAGCTCTGGCATCCTGCTGAGACCTCCTTGGCAGGTCACCTTTGTTGTGGATCCCAGCCCAAATGCATAGAGGGGGAGCAGGGACGGGTGGAGGAAGTGGATGGGGGCAGATGGAAGTCCCTAGATCTGAAACTTCAGCAGGAGGAGCAGGCCCCAAACCGAGGTGAAAGGCTGCCCAGCCTCATCCTCTTGGTGACTGAGTTTGCCTTTTCTCAGGTTCCTCGGGCATTTGTGAACCTGGTGACGGTGCTTGAGATCGTCAACCTGAGGGAGCTGTACCAGGAGAAAAAAGTCTACTGCCCAAGGATGATCCTCAGGTCAGACAGATACTTCTCCCCGATTCTACTAAGAATCCTCACTGCTAAGGGCAGTGGCACCCTTAGCAAATTCCTTAGAAAACCCAAGGGCCGAAGTGTGAAAGGGCTGTGACCACCCCATCTTCTAACCTGGAAAAGCCTAAGGGGAGGATATCCTAGGATTTTTCCACCCTGGTGTAGGCCTCAGCCCACCTCAGGGTGTGCATGGGGAACTACCCCTGCACCCCGCCTCTGTTGCCATGGCAGCCACAAGGCACCCTCCAGGCCTCCAGAGGGAAGAGTAAAACGCTAGGAATGGAGTCAAGCTGTGTGTCTGAGGCCCGGGGACCGCCCAGGCCACTGCTGGGACCTACTTCCAAGTGTGTCCAGAGCTGATCTGCCCCCTCCTAGAGGCCCATCTCTAGGACAGGGGTGCCTCTGGTTGGTATGGGTGTTCCATGTAAAGCATTCACAGATATAGGGCCACTGTCACCTGCCAGAGAAGGAGGTCAAACCAGAATTAGCAGGGTCCAGAGGACAGAGTCCTCCCCAGAGAGTAGAGAACCCTGGTCCTGAGAAGGTGCCTGAGAGGACGTCTTCACCCCTCAGCCTCCAGAGCCAGACAGAGCTGGCTTCCCCTTCTAATACAGGCTGAGCATCCCTCATCCGAAAATCTGAAATCTGAAATGCTCCAAAATCCAAAACTTTTTTTTTTTTTTGAGACAGGGTCTCGCTCTGTTGCCTAGGCTGGAGTGCAGTGGCATGATCTTGGCTCACTGCAGTCTCCGCCTCCCAGGTTCAAGCAATTCTCCCACCTCAGCCTCCTTAGTAGCTGGGATTACAGGCACACCACCATGCCCAGCTAATTTTTGTATTTTTAGTAGAGACGGAGTTTTATCATGTTGGCCAAGCTGGTCCCGAACTGCTGACCTCAGGTGATCCACCCTCCTCGGCCTCCCAAAGTGCTGGGATTACAGGCGTGAAGCCACCATGCCTGGCCCCGAATCCAAAACTTTTAAAGTGCTGACATGACACCACAAGGGGAAAATTCCACACCTGACTTCATGTGACAGGTTGTAGTGAAAACACAGGTGCACAGCACGCAGTTTATTCAGCATCCCCAAAAAGCCTCCTTCAGCTGCGATGCACTCTCTTTTCTGGGCATGCCCAGATCCTGCGGCTCAAGCATGCCCACAAAGGGTAGCAAAATGGCACATGTGCAGGCCGGATGCTCCAACAACAGGTTCCCCATAATGGCTCATGTGGGGCTAAGACCTGCGTGCATTACTCACCTAGTTTTTGCTCATTCTCTGTGTGGTAAAGATGTGGCTTAAAACGATAGCCATAGGGTAATGCAAATATTCCAAAAAAAAAAAAATCTGAAATCTGAAATGCTTCTGGCTCAAAGCATTTCAGATAAGGGAGACCCAGCCTGTATCACACATCTCCAGGACCGTCAGGAATAAGACGTTCCTCTAAGTGAAGCATGAACGTTTTCCGCAGCCTTCCTTCCTGCAGGTTTTCCTCTGGACTGTTAGCCAAGGTCACTGAGACTGTGCTCCCCTACCCTGCCCCCCAGCTCTGTTACTCGGTACAGGTCCCCACCCCAGCCCTGAGCACATCACATGGTAATTACTCATGTGCCTCCCTCCCCCACAGCCTGTGAACTCAGCCTGAGTCACTGCTAGCATGGTGTAGGGGCTCAGCTGCTGTTTGCTGAATGACTGAATAATTCACAAGGGCCAGACTTGCTCTTGGAAGTTAAGGGGTACCTTTCCTGCTCCTCTGCAGATCCATGCCATGCCTCACCTGGGGGACCCAAACCGCACAGGTCCCCTGGAGAAGGCCTCACGGTGCTGTGAGCAGAGACAGGATGGTTGCTTGGGTGACATGTTCCTATGAACGCAGCTGGTGTCAGGCATGCTATTTCCAACTGCTGACTCATCCGCTGGCTCACACTTTCTCCAGTCACTGGGCCACACAGGGGATCGGTGTCTTCACTCCATTTCAGAGCAGTTTACCAGAAAGCCTCTTGCTACCCATCTTGGCAGGGTTTTTTAGACCATTCAAACTCAAGGTTCAAAATAGGCATTTGCCAGGCCCATTCACAGATCTGAGATGGCCAAGTCACTGAATGTCAAGGTTGGATAGACTCAGGTCACCTTCTCCTGCCACCTCTGCAGTGCCCTGCACTCCCCGCCTCTCCACTGTTTCATCGGGTGGCTGTGCTTTCCTCTGCAGTGCTGAGTCTACACGGAGCCATCCCTGCTGTTATCACCTCATCCCCCTGGACCAAAAGCCCAGATGTGCCAGATAGCTGGCCGGGTCAGAGCTGCAGATTGGATGGAAGCAGTTTAACATAGAGATTAAGAGCTCAGGTTCAGAGCCAGGCAGACTTGAGTTCAAGTCCTAGCTCCCACACTCAGCACCCATGCAACCTTGAGAAAGTTACTCAACCACCCTGAGCCTGGGTTTCCTCATCTCTAAAACAGGGATAATGAGAATACCACTTCTAGAATGGCTGGGAGGACTAAACAGGTTAATACCCATAAAGTTTTTATTGCAGTGCTTGGTACAGTGTTCAATGTTAATTATTCAATAATAATTGCTAAGATACACTCAAATCAATGTATCTTAGCAATTATTATTGTTGTCACTGCAGTATGCCTCATCGGCACAGCACTTTCCTCAGACAGCCGTAAGGTGACTCGTCTCCATAAAAGTCACTCCTACAGAAATCAGAAGAAGTCTATTTCATTTTCAAGAGCAAATCCAGGTCTAGGAATTTTTCTTTTTTTTTTTTTCTTTTGAGACAGAGTCTCGCTCTGTTGCCCAGGCTGGAGTGCAGTGGCACAATCTCGGCTCACTGCAACCTCCGCCTCCCGGGTTCAAGCGATTCTCATGCCTCAGCCTCCCGAGTAGCTGGGACCACAGGCATGCAGCACCACCCCAAGCTAATAGTTTGTATTTTTAGTAGAGACGGGGTTTCGCTATGTCAGCCAGCCTGGTCTTGAACTCCTGACCTCAAGTGATCCACCCACCTCGGCCCACCAAAGTGCTGGCATTACAGGCGTGAGCCACCGCGCCTGGCCTGGAAATCTTCTTTAGCTTCGTTTGGTATGGTCAGCAGGTCAGCCAGCCAGGCTCCTCATTAGCACAGATCTCTGAACTCCAAGTTAAAAGAAATGTATTGAGTCTCAAGCCAGCGTTTCTGCATCACTTATTCAGGATGGTGATCTTGGTGGGATGAGGGTTTCTCTTTGGTTTGGTCTACAGGTCTCTGTGTCCCTGTGTCCTGAAGTTTGATGATAACTCAACAGAACTTGCTACCCTCATCGAATTCAACAAGAAGTTTCAGGTAAGCCGGGAAGGGGTTCTAAGACTTCCCAGAACTGCTGTGTGATTCGATTGCTCTGTCTAGAGAACAAGTCAGTGCTTAGGTAATTTTGACCCTGTGTGGGGGATGACCACTGACTAGTTTGCTGATTTTAAAACACCCTGAGACACAGCAGGGGCTGCTACTTGGTTTGTATGAATTGCACCACAGAACCAAGTCCCTGAACATGACCCACTGAATCTCAGTTCCTGGTCGTTAAATGAAACGAACGTTTCCACTTGTCCATGGGCAAACATGGATCATGGAAAGAAGTTTCAGAGTGGATCTATCCAGACCCAAACCTCGACTCTGCTCGCTGGTTGTGGAATGTTAGACACATGGGCAATGAAACTTCTCTGAACTTCCAGCTCCTGGGTGGGAAACGGAGGCTGAAAGTCCTCCCTCCCTTGAGGCTCTCCAGGGTTCAGTGACACAGGGTGCATTCCCTCTGCCCTCCGCTCCTATAGAATGGATGATCTTGGGAGAGCACAAGGAGAAAGAAAGTCAGGAGATGATCTCCATCTTGTGAGTTGTTCATTTTAGTCCTTTCTCTACCACATCTTTGACCAGAACAGCTGACTCCCTTAACAATCGAGTTTCTCCCCAGCAAAAAGTTTCTCCCCAACAAGCTTGAAGAGGACAGTGGTAGGCCTTTCTTCTAGACTAGGCTGCAAACAGCTACCAGAGTGGATCCATCCTTCCAGGAGTCCCTGGACTCCTTGGGGGCAGTACCACTTCCCTGCCACCCATTTTGGGGGCAGCTAGACCTGCCAGGTATGTCAGGGCTCAGGGAAATGAACCTGTATTTATTATCCTTTGTGACTACTACCTAGCACTCGGGATGACTCCCTAGCTGGACTTCCTTTATTTTATGTATTTATTTATTTTTATATATTTATCTATTTGAGACAGGGTCTCACTTTGTCATCCAGGCTGGAGTGCAGTGGCACAATCTTGGCTCACTGCAGCCTTGACCTCCAAGCCTCAAGTGATCCTCCCGCCTCAGTCCCCCAAGTAGCTGGGACTACAGGTGTGTGCCACCACACCCGGCTACTTTTTGTATTTTTTAGTAGAGATTGGGTTTCACTATGTTGCCCAGGCTGGTCTTGGACTCCTGCACACAAGCAATCCACCCGCCTCAGCCTTCCAAAGTGCTGGGATTGCAGGTGTGAGCCACCGCGCCAAGCCACACTTCCTTCTGCTGTGAGCAGGCACCTGTGACTCTGGGGAGGAAGTCCCTGGCCCACATCAGAAGAGGGGCGGCAGCTGAGGTTATGGCCATGAGAGCAACCCTGTTTCAATTGGGGTTACTGGGTGCACGCAACTAAAGTTCATGCAGTTTCTGGCTAATTTAAGCAGATTTAATATTTACACAATCTCTGACAGAGCTAGAGAGCTAGGGTCCGGAGCTATGCCATCAGGAATCATGGAATCATGGACTTCTAGGGGCCAAGCCATAAGAATCAAAATCAATGCTGGGCGTGGTGACTCACGCCTATAATCCCAGCACTTTGGGAGACCAAGGCGGGAGGATCACTTGAGTTTAGGAGTTCAAGACCAGCCTGGCCAACATAGTGAAACCCTGCAAAAAATACCAAAATTAGTCGGACGTGGTGGCACATGCCTGTAGCCTCAGCTACTCGGGAGGCTGAGGTGGGAGGATCACTTGAGCCCAGGAGGCGGAGGTTGCAGTGAGCCGAGATTGCACCGTTGCGCTCCAGCCTGGGTGACACAGTGAGACTGTCTCAAAAAAAAAAAAAATCAAAATCAGGCCACAGACCTGGTCCAGGGAAGACATCACAGACTCCACTGTCACTGCTGCTTCTAGGAACTGGTTGCAGCTGCCACCTTCAGCAGAATGGATGTTTTGCCATCCCTGACACAGGCAATGATTGCTGAAGCCTCAGTCACATACCCACGCCCTGGCTGCAAGAGCGGTTAGGAAAGCAGGCGTTCTCTCATCTTTTTTAGTCTCCACAGTGGGAGGCAGGCTGCTCTCTATGCAGTGGGGTCTCCAAACTTGGAAGTGGGTTCAGATGCTGAGCAGCTGAAAAGCAGGAGAAAGATTGATCAACATCGCCCTCCCAGCCTCTGCAGACAGGCCAGATGTTCCCAGGGCTGATCCTGGTCGTCACTGAGGCCCTGATCTAGTGTTTTGGAGATGCCCGTGTGTCAGCCGTGTGTGGCCATCATGCCCTGTCTCAGAATCATCTCACGCCCTACTTCCCACAGAAGCTACGGCTCTCTCACTCTCCCTGGAGATGATCATTTCTATTAATAACCACAGTCACTCACTTACCACTTGCCATGTGCCAGGGACTCTACACACTATTTCTTTCCACTGCCAAAAGGTGTATGGTTCCACTGTGAGCCCATCTGGCTATCCCCCGAGTAACCAGTAGCGTTGGAAGGGACTTAAGAGATGGCCCAGGACTCAGCCAACATCCTCCATTTACTAAAAGGGAAGCAGCATGCTGGAAGTCACCCTGCTAGTTCACAGCACCTCACTTCCTTCCCCTCTTCTGAGAGACGACCTTCTCTCCTTTCCTCATGCCTTACTCAAGGCTGACCACTGGCTTGGGAGGTCAGACATGAGACATTCCTGGCCTGGGAATTGACCCTGGGAAAAGACAGTGTGTGGTGTCTTCTGAAGTGACCCCATTCACATTCCCAGGTATGTAAGCCTGACTTCCCTCTCCAGCCAGTACCCCGAGGTGGCAGAAACCCTGGTGAGCAGTGGAATGGCTGAGTCAGCCTAGAGTGGGAGCCGGAACTGGGGTAACAGATTTTCCTAGCAGTGACCCCAAGCAAAAGCTGTGAGGGTTACACAGATCTGAGAGCCTCAAAGAAGTGCACACACACCATGCACAGGCAATATAAATATACATTAAATTTTGATTCACCTTTGATTTTTCTGAACAAATGTAGGACAGAAATAAATTGTTAGGATTATTCAAAATGTCATTTAACCAAAAACCACCCCTCACGTCTTTAATCAGAATAGCTTTAAAAGAAGTCAAGCTGGCCAGGCGCGGTGGCTCGCACCTGTAATCCCAGCACTTTGGGAGGCCGAGGCGGGTGGATCACGAGGTCAGGAGTTCGAGACCAGCCTGGCCAACATAGTGAAACCCCGTCTCTGCTAAAAATACAAAAAATTAGCCAGGCGTGGTGGCAGGCGCCTGTAATCCCAGCTACTCCAGAGGCTGAGGCAGGGGAATCGCTTGAACCCGGGAGGCGGAGGTTGCAGTGAGCCAAGATCGCGCCATTGCACTCCAGCCTGGGTGACAGAGTGAGACTCTGTCCCCCCAAAAAAAAAAGGTCAAGCTGATAGACTTTTCTTACCTTTCCCTTTTCACAGACTAGCTCAAATATATGCAATCGCAGCAGAGTTTGGGGCCAGGGGTTGAGATAAAGGCTGATCTAAAATGTAAATGATCTAAAATGTAAAATCTCAGTTGAGATTTTGCACCAGGTTGATTTCACTCAACAGTCAGATTCTGTTTAATTCTGTGTTGGAGAAAGAGATCAATCAAGGACCGAGCAGATGCAGAGAGGACTGCCTGACATCTGTCCCCTTTTCCTCCTGCAGGAGAAGACCCACCAACTGATTGAGAGTGGGCGATATGACACAAGGGAAGATTTTACTGTGGTTGTGCAGCCGTTCTTTGAAAACGTGGACATGCCAAAGACCTCGGTAAAGAAAGCAAGCATCGTAGAAAAATAGAATCCACAGATAGTGTGTGGCTGTTTCTGAGTGTCACTTATATGATCCAGTGTGTCTATAACTGCCTCTCTTTTTCTGCCCGGTGACCAGGAAGGATTGCCTGACAACTCTTTCTTCGCTCCTGACTGTTTCCACTTCAGCAGCAAGTCTCACTCCCGAGCAGCCAGTGCTCTCTGGAACAATATGGTAAGTGGCTGCGGTAGGAAAATGCATCCTCCCTCTGGTAAGAAAAAGACTTCACAAAGCCTTTGGAGGACCTCGGAGGCCCATCGTGCAGGCCATGTGATTCTATGCACGGCAATGACAAACAAACCCCATCTCCTTCATCCCTCCCTGCCTCCCGCACCCCTGACCTGCGTCCTGAGCTTTCCATTCTGGCCGCCTCTTCCTCACTCCCCATCTCCCTGCTTCTTTGTTTAGCTGGAGCCTGTTGGCCAGAAGACGACTCGTCATAAGTTTGAAAACAAGATCAATATCACATGTCCGAACCAGGTAGAGTGGAAAGCACGTCCTTCCAGGCTCCGGCTGCACTGGGCTTC